>NC_000013.11:77953560-78105075 GCF_000001405.40 Homo sapiens
GGGTTAGAGGGTAGTGAAATAAATAGTCTGGACTAAACGATGGAAAACCTTAAAAGTAGAGCAAATCAATTTGCATACAGAATACCCTTGAATAGCATATGTGTGTTTGAATGGAATAATAAAGGCTAGAGTGACTGTGGTAGAGAGATGGATTTGGGGAGATGTTGAATGAAGTAAAGGGCATTAGGTAGGAGTTGATTGCAGGAACCCAGGGACCATATAATGAATATCTGAACTCGGATGGCTGTGACAGGGAAAATAAAATGGACAGGACAGATAGAAGTATCAATTCATAGGGAAAAATTAGTTGTTTCCAACTGTCCTTTAAATTTGGCATCAAGTAAAAAATATATGGCCAATCTTTCTAACCTGTAGTATTTTTTAAAACTTCACTTTTTGGAGAATTTTATATGTACATAAAAACAGATACAATATTATGATGAACCCCAATCACTCAACTCCAACCTGCAGGCAATGCTGCCCTATCTATATCCTTATCTACTTCCCCCTTCTTTTGATTTATAATTTGCAATTCCAACATTGCATCCCTTTTTTCTTTTGTTTCTTGTGTTGACATTTAACATGAGCTCTACTCTGTTAAAAAAAATTTTAAGTACATAAGACCTTTTGTTAGTCATAGGTACTATGTTTTACAGAAGATCTCTGAAACTCATTTATTTCCTATATCTGTAAATTTATACAAGATTTATAAAAACTCCTTATATGCCCCTTCTCCCATTCTCTGGTAACACCATTCTATTGTCTACTTCTATACCATTGGCTATTTTAGAAGTATCTTATGTGTAAGAAAAATCATGCAGTGTTTGTCCTTCTGTGATTGACCTATCTCACTTGGGATAATGTCTTCCAGATTCATCCAAGTTGTCACAAAAGGCAGGATTTTCTTTTTTAAGAAAGTATTTATTTATTTATTTATTTATTTATTTATTTATTTATTTATTTATTTTTGAGACAGAGTCTCACTCTGTCACCCAGGCTGGAGTGTAGTGGCACGATCTCGGCTCACTGCCATCTTCACCTCCTGGGTTCAAGCGATTCTCCTGCCTCAACCTGTAGCTGGGACTACATGCATGTGCCACGACACATGGCTAATTTTTGTATTTTTAGTAGAGATGGGTTTTCACCATGTTGGCCAGGCTGGCCTCGAACTCCTGACCTCAGGTAGTCCACCTGCCTCGGCCTCCCAAAGTGCTGGGATTACAGGTGTGAGCCAACATGCCCAGCCAGGATTTTCTTTTTTTAAGGTTCTGTTTTAGGTATATAGCAAATTTCTGTATCCTTCATTTGTAATGGACATATTTGTTGTTTCCATATCTTGGCTATTGTAAACAACACTGCAATGAACATAAAAATGTAGCTATCTGCCTAAAATCTTGATTCCAATTCTTTTAGATACATACTCAGAAGTGAAATTGCTGAATCATATGGCAGTTCTATTTTTAATTTTTTGAGACACCTCCATACTGTTTTCTACAGCAACTGCACCATTTTACATTCCCACCTACAATGTACAGAGGTTCCAATTTCTCCACCTCCTTTCTAATACTCATTATCTTTTATTTATTTGTTGTTTGATAATAGTCATTTTAACAGATATATGATGATATCTCATTGTGGTTTTGATTTGCATTTCCCTAATGATTAGTGAGGTTGAGAATCTTTTCATATACCTGTTGACATTTGTATGTCTTTGGAGAAATGTCTATTCAGTTCCTTGCCTTTTTAAAAATTAAATTGTTCATTTTCTTGCTATTGAGTCTTAGGAGTTTCTTATATACTTTGGATAGTAATCCCTTATCAGATATATGATTTGCAAATATGTTCTTCCATTCTGTTGGTTCCCATTTTATTTTTTAATTGTTTCCTTTGCCATGCAAAAGTATTTAGTTTGATGTAATCCCACTTGTCTATTTTGGCTTTTGTTGCTTATGCTTTTGGTGTCATATTCAAGAAATCATTGCCAAGTCAATTGTCCATCATCAAGAATATTTTTCCCTATGTTTTCTTCTAAGAGTTTTATGGCTTCATGTTTTACATTTAAGTCTTAAACCTGATTTAAATTTTGTGTACCATGTAAGATAATGGTTCAATTTCATTCTTTTGCTTGTAAATAACCAGTTTTTCCAATACTGTTTATTAAAGAGACTACCCTTTCCCTATTGTACATTCTTGACATCCTTGTTAAATATTAGTTAAATTTAGGTGTGTGGAATTACTTTTGGGCTCTCTATTCTGTTCCATTGGGGTGTGTGTATGTGTGTGTGTATCTATCTATCTATCTATCTATCTATCTATCTATCTATCTATCTATCTATTTTTATGCCAGTACCATACTGTTTTAATCACAGTAGTTTTTAATATATTTTAAAATCGAGAGTGTGATATCTCCAGCTTTGTTCTTCTTGTTCAGATTGTTTTGTGTATTTGGGGTCTTTTGTGGCTCCAAATGAATTTCAAGATTTTTTCTATTTCTGTAAAGAATACCATTGGGATTTTGACAGAGATTGGATCGAATCTGAAGATTGCTTTGCATAGTATGGACGTTTTAACAATATTAATTCTTCTCATCCATAAACCTGAGATGTCTTTCCATTTATTTGTGTGTGCTTTAACTTCTTTTATCAGTGTCTTACACTTTTCAGTGAATATGTTCACCCTCTTGGTTAGATTTATTCCTAACTTTTTTTTTGATGTTACTGTAAATGGGATTGTTTTCTGAGTTTCATTTTCAGATGTGTCATTTTTAGTGTACAAAAACTGAACTGACTTTTTATGTTAATGTAGTATCTTGCAAATGTACTGAAATTATTTTTGCATCCCATCGCTTTTTTTGTAGATACTTTGGAGCTTTGTACATACAAGATCATGTCATCCCCAAACACAGATAATTATACTTCTTCCTTTCCAATTTGGATGCTTTTTCTTGCCTAATTTGGAGTTCCAAAACTTTACGGAACATAAGTGGCAAAAGTGGGCATCCTTGCCTTGTATTAGCTTTTTATTACTGCTGTAACAAATTGCCATTAATTTTGTGGCTAAAAATAGCACAAATTTATTATTGTGCAGTAGGTCAGAACTCTGACACAGGTCTTACTGGGCTAAAATCAAGGCTGTGTTCCTTTCTGGAGGCTATAAGAGAATATTAGTTGCTTGCCTTTAGCAGCTTCTAGAGGCCACCCACATTCCTTGGCTCATGGCCTCTTTCTCTGTCTTCAAAATCTACAGAAGTGGGTTGAAGCCTTTCCAAGCCACATCACTATGACATTGTCTTCTGCCTATCTTCTTCTACTCTTAAGGACTTAAGTAATTAGATGGGGCCTATCCAGATAATTCAGTATAATCTGCCTTCAAAAGGTCCTTATAAAGTCCCTTTAGCCATGTAAGAAAACATATTCATAGGGACTGAGGACTAGGACATGGGCATTTTGGAGGAGCCCATTATTCTACCTACCACAGTATCTTTGTGATTTGTGTGAATAATCTTTTTCTGGTCCATATGGATTCAGTTGTAATAATATAATATTGATAAATCATTGAACAATAAATTATGTCACTGCAGAATAAATTTGTGTGTATTTGTTTAAACATGAGTCTACTGTTCTGTAGAAATTGAGTCACTGTCTGTTTTCTTAGAACTCCATTTTAAGTATTATCCACCAGCTGCACTAACAGAACCAAAAAAGTTAATGTATTTTGGAAGGGAAAGTTCACACCATGGGGTTTTAGGCTTGGAAGGCAATGCATTTATGTGATAGCGTTAACAGACTTTCATTTAATATATTCATTAGAATGCAAGCAGGCAAATCTTGGTATTTACAGGCATAAAGGTCATAATTTTGACTACTTTTATGTTATTGTGAAAATCACTACGATATAGTAATTTGTAATTTTACTTAGGCATCACAGTTCTATGAAGCTGATAAGCAAAAGCATCACTTAAGCTTCCTAATTTTTATTTTCCCAGTCTGTCATTTGGGAATAACAATAATACCTATCCTAGAAGGCAGTCATAAGAATTAAATTTTATAATGCTTACAAGGTTGTCAGAAAATTTTAAACAGATAATAATTGTTGAATAAATGTCAGCTTTTATTTTTGTTTGCTAGTGAGTAATCCTGGATGAACTGCCTGCACGTACACTTTCATGTGGTTTTGTTCTTGTCCACTCATATCCTATGATATATTTTGTGAAGGAAACCATATATATTTCACAGCATTCACGACTTTGGGTAATTTTGAAAACTTCAGACCAGGGCATAGTGATTAGGAATATCTATTTGCAGACAGTAAAATGTTGGCCACTCAAAAGAAATCACATAAAAGGATTATAAATTGATTTACTCCAAGGCCACGTTTTTGTTTTTGCTATATGTTAGAGTCTGTGACAAATTCTTTTTAAAATGTTGAGTGATTAATTTTTGCAAAAAACTAAACACCATGTGGAAGTTATTCCATTGACTAGAGCTGGGCTTCCTATTTTGGACCAATGAGGAAGTGTGAATGTGGAGTAATGAGACTCAACCCATTACTCTATATTAGAATCACTTGCAAAGTATTGGAAACTACAATTGTATAGGGAGTTCACATGTCAGAGATTCATATTCAGCTATCTGGAAATAGAGAACAGGCATGTAGATCATTAAAAACACCCACAGGTGATTCTGATGGATAGCCTGGAATAAGAACCATGGCTTTAGTATATTTAAAGCAGAATCTTCAGGTTGTAATATTGGCATCAGTAATTTCAAATTTTCCCAGGTTATTTTATTTATTTATTTATTTATTTATTTATTTATTTATTTATTTATTTTGAGACGGAGTCTCGCTGTCTCCCAGGCTGGAGCGCAGTGGTGCAATATCAGCTCACTGCAAGCTCCGCCTCCCGGGTTCATGCCATTCTCCTGCCTCAGCCTCCAGAGTAGCTGGGACTATGGGCACCCACCACCACACCTGGCCAATTTTTTGTATTTTTTCAGTAGAGATGGGGTTTCACCATGTTAGCCAGGATGGTCTCGATCTCCTGACCTTGGAACCCGCCTGCCTCAGCCTCCCAAAGTGCTGGGATTACAGGCGTGAGCCACTGCCCCCAGCCCCCAGGTTATTTTAATGTGCAGCCAGCATTGAGAACCTTTGCTTTATATTAATGAGACTAAACAAGATCTAAAGAAGTTCTGCTAACATTTTGAGGAATGACTCAGCCTCAGGTGGCTGATGTTAAGGAAGAAATTAATGTAAATGTGAAGGCTTATGTTCAAGTGTATTTACTAAGATATCACCATCTTCTTACTTCATTCTATCTGATCTGAGCACCTTGAGTGGAATGTGGTATGGAATATGTATTTACAAGATGGTTGTCTGTTGCCTGCAATGGAAGGACAATATCCACAATGGCATGGTGGTGTTGTTGGGAGAGAAGGGATTGTGGAGATGACAAGGAGGGGTGAATGATCTCTCATAAGTGTACTTGAATTATTGAGAGATTATAGGCGATTAAAATAGAACATTAATATTACATTTTCTCCTATACTCAAATATCTTTTATGCAATCCTTCATCATTACTTGAACCTCTGCAGACTTAAATGTCCCTGTCTGACAGCTTTGAAGAGAGTAGTGGTTCTCCCAGCACGGAGTTTGAGGTCTGAGAATGGACAGACTGCCTCCTCAAGCGGGTCCCTGACCCCCGAGTAACCTAATGGGGAGGCACCCCTCAGTAGGGGCAGAATGACACCTCACATGGCCAGGTTCCCCTCTGAGACGAAGCTTCCAGAGGAACGATCAGGCAGCAACATTTGCTGTTCAGCAATATTCGCTGTTCTGCAGCCACCACTGCTGATACCCAGGCAAACAGGGTCGGGAGTGGACTTCCAGCAAACTCCAACAGACCTGCAGCTGAGGGTCCTGACTGTTAGAAGGAAGACTAACAAACAGAAAGGACATCCACACCAAAACCCCATCTGTACGTCACCATCATCAAAGACCAAAGGTAGATAAAACCACAAAGATGAGGGAGAAACAGAACAGAAAAGCTGAAAATTCTAAAAATTAGAATGCCTCTCACCCTCTAAAGGAACTCAGCTCTTCGCCAGCAATGGAACAAAGCTGGATGGAGAATAACTTTGACGAATTGAGAGAAGGCTTCAGATGATCAAACTTCTCCGAGCTAAAGGAGGAAGTTCGAACCCATCATACAGAAGCTAAAAACCTTGAAAAAAGATTAGACAAATGGCTAACTAGAATAACCAGTGTAGAGAAGTCCTTAAATGACATGATGGCACAAAAAACCATGGCACAAGAACTACGTGATGAATGCACAAGCTTCAGTAGCTGATTCCATCAACTGGAAGAAAGGGTATCAGTGATTGAAGATCAAATGAATGAAATGAAGTGAGAAGATAAGTTTAGAGAAAAAAGAGTAAAAAGAAATGAACAAAGCCTCCAAGAAATATGGGACTGTGTGAAAAGACCAAATTTACATCTGATTGGTGTACCTGAAAGTGATGGGGAGAAAGGAACCAAGTTGGAAAACACTCTGCAGAATATTATCCAGGAGAACTTCCCCAACCTAGCAAGGCAGGCCAACATTCAAATTCAGGAAATACGAGAATGCCACAAAGATACTCCTCGAGAAGAGCAACTCCAAGACACATAATTATCAGATTCACCAAAGTTGAAATGAAGGAAAAAATGTTAAGGGCAGCCAGAGAGAAAGGTCGGGTTACCCACAAAGGAAAGCCCATCAGACTAACAGCAGATGTCTCGGCAGAAACTCTATAAGCCAGAAGAGAGTGGGGGCCAATATTCAACATTATTAAAGAAAAGAATTTTCAACCCCAGAATTTCATATCCAGCCAAACTAAGCTTCATAAGTGAAGGAGAAATAAAATCCTTTACAGACAAGCAAATTCGGAGAGATTTTGTCACACCAGGCCTGCCCTACAAGAGTTCCTGAAGGAAGCACTGAACATGGAAAGGAACAGCCAGCACCAGCCACTGCAAAAACATGCCAAATTGTAAAGACCATCGATGCTAGGAAGAAACTGCATCAACTAATGAGCAAAATAACCAGTTATCATCATAATTGGCAGGATCAAATTCGCACATAACAATATTAACCTTAAATGTAAATGGGCTAAATTCTCCAGTTAAAAGACACAGACTGGCAAATTCAATAAAGAGTCAAGAACCATCAGTGTGCTGTATTCAGGAGACCCATCTCACGTGCAGAGACACACATAGGCTCAAAATAAAGGGATGGAGGAAAATCTACCAAGCAAATGGAAAAAAAAAAAAAAAAAAGCAGGAGTTGCAATCCTAGTCTCTGATAAAACAGACTTTAAACCAACAAAGATCAAAAGAGACAAAGAAGGCCATTACATAATGGTAAAGGGATCAATTCAACAAGAAGAGTTAACTGTCCTAAATATATATGCACCCAGTACAGGAGCACCCAGATACATAAAGCAAGTCCTTAGAGACTAGAAAGAGACTTAGACTCCCACACAATAATAATGGGAGACTTTAACACCCCACTGTCAACATTAGACAGATCAACAAGACAGAAAGTTAACAAGGATACCCAGGAATTGAACTCAGCTCTGCACCAAGCAGACCTAATAGACATCTACAGAACTCTCCACCCCAAATCAAGAGAATATACTCTCTTCTCAGCACCACGTCGCACTTATTCCAAACTTATTAGGTCTGCACCAAGCAGACCTAATAGACATCTACAGAACTCTCCACCCCAAATCAACAGAATATACTTTCTTCTCAGCACCACGTCGCACATAGTTGGAAGTAAAGCACTCCTCGGCAAATGTAAAAGAACAGAAATAAGAACCAACAGTCTCTCAGACTACAGTGCAATCAAACTAGAACTCAGGATTAAGAAACTCACTCAAAACCACTCAACTACATGGAAACTGAACAACCCACTCCTGAATGACTACTGGGTACATAACGAAATGAAGGCAGAAATAAAGATGCTCTTTGAAACCAATGAGAACAAAGACACAACATACCAGAATCTCTGGGACATATTTAAAGCAGTGTGTAGAGGGAAATTTATAGCACTAAATGCCCACAGGAGAAAGCAGGAAAGATCTAAAATTGACACCCTAACATCACAATTAAAAGAACTAGAGAAACAAGAGCAAACACATTCAAAAGCTAGCAGAAGGCAAGAAATAACAAGATCAGTGCAGAACTGAAGGAGATAGAGACATGAAAAACCCTTCAAAAAATCAATGAATCCAGGAGCTGGTTTTTTGAAAAGGTCAACAAAATTGAAAGACTGCTATCAAGACTAATAAAGAAGACAAGAGAGAAGAATCAAATAGATGCAATAAAAAATGATAAAGGGGATATCACCACCAATCCCACAGAAATACAAACTACCATCAGAGAATACTATAAACACCTCTACGCAAATAAACTAGAAAATCTAGAAGAAATGGATAAATTCCTGGACACGTACACCCTCCTAAGACTAAACCAGGAAGAAGTTAAATCCCTGAATAGACCAATAACAGGCTCTGAAATTGAGGCAATAATTAATAGCCTACCAACCAAAAAACGTCCAGGACCAAATGGATTCACAGCCGAATTCTACCAGAGGTACAAGGAGGAGCTGGTACCATTCCTTCTGAAAATATTCCAATCAATAGAAAAAGACGGAATCCCCCCTAACTCATTTTATAAGGCCAGCATCATCCTGATACCAAAGCCTGGCAGAGACACAACAAAAAAAAGAGTATTGTAGACCAATATCCCTGATGAACTTTGATGCAAAAATCCTCAATAAAATACTGGCAAAGCGAATCCAGCAGCACATGAAAAACCTTATTGACCATGATCAAGTGGGCTTCATCCTGCTGGTTCAACACACACAAATCAATAAATGTAATCCAGCATATAAACAGAACCAAAGACAAAAACCACATGATTATCACAATAGATGCAGAAAAGGCCTTTGACAAAATTCAACAGCCCTTCATGCTAAAAACTCTCAACAAATTAGGTATTGATGGGACATATCTCAAAATCATAAGAGCTATTTATGACAAACTCACAGCCAGTATCATACTGAATGGGCAAAAAACTGGAAGCATTCCGTTTGAAAACTGGCACAAGAAAGGGATGCCCTCTCTCACCACTCCTATTCAACATAGTGTTGGAAGTTCTGGCCAGGGCAATCAGGCAGGAGAAAGAAATAAAGGGTATTCAATTAAGAAAAGAGGAAGTCAAATTGTCCCTGTTTGCAGATGACATGATTGTATATTTAGAAAACCCCATTGTCTCAACCCAAAATCTCCTTAAGCTGATAAACAACTTCAGCAAAGTCTCAGGATACAAAATCAATGTGCAAAAATCACAAGCATTCTTATACACCAATAACAGACAAACAGAGCCAAATCATGAGTGAACTCCCATTCACAATTGCTTCAAGGAGAATAAAATACCTAGGAATCCAACTTACAAGGGATGTGAAGGACCTCTTCAAGGAGAACTACAAACCACTGCTCAACGAAATAAAAGAGGACACAAACAAATGGAAGAACATTCCATGCTCATGGATAAGAATAATCAATATCGTGAAAATGTCCATACTGCCCAAGTAATTTATAGAGTCAATGCCATCCCCATCAACCTACCAATGACTTTCTTCACAGAATTGGAAAAAACTACTTTAAAGTTCATATGGAACCAAAAAAGAGCTCACATTGCCAAGTCAGTCCTAAGCCAAAAGAACAAAGCTGGAGGCATTATGCTACCTGACTTCAAAGTATACTACAAGGCTACAGTAACCAAAACAGCATGGTACTGGTACCAAAACAGAGATATAGACCAGTGGAACAGAACAGAGCCCTCAGAAATAATACCATATATCTACAACAATCTGATCTTTGATAAACCTGAGAAAAACAAGCAATGGGGAAAGGATTCCCTATTTAATAAATGGTGCTGGGAAAACTGGCTAGCCATATGTAGAAAGCTGAAACTGGATCCCTTCCTTACACCTTATACAAAAATTAATTCAAGATGGATTAAAGACTTAAATGTTAGACCTAAAACCATAAAAACCCTAGAAGAAATCCTAGGCAATACCATTCAGGACGGAGGCATGGGCAAGGATTTCATGTCTAAAACACCAAAAGCAATGGCAACAAAAGCCAAAGTTGACAAATGGGATCTAATTAAACTAAAGAGCTTCTGCACAGCAAAAGAAACTACCATCAGAGTAAACAGGCAACCTACAGAATGGGAGAAAATTTTTGCAACCTACTCATCTGACAAAGGGCTAATATCCAGAATCCACAATGAACTCAAACAAATTTACAAGAAAAAAACAAACAACCCCATCAAAAACTGGGTGAAGGATATGAACAGACACTTCTCAGAAGAAGACATTTATGCAGCCAACAGACACATGAAAAAATGTGCCTCATCACTGGCCATCAGAGAAATGCAAATCAAAACCACAATGAGATACCATCTCACACCAGTTACAATGGCAATCATTAAAAAGTCAGGAAACAACAGGTGCTGGAGAGGATGTGGAGAAATAGGAACACTTTTACATTGTTGGTGGGGCTGTAAACTAGTTCAACCATTGTGGAAGACAGTGTGGCCACTCCTCAAGGATCTAGAACTAGAAATACCATTTGATCCAGCCATCCCATTACTGGGTATATACCCAAAGGATTATAAATCATGCTGCTATAAAGACACATGCTATAAAGACACATATGTTTATTGTGGTACTATTCAGAATATCAAACACTTGGAACCAACCCAAATGTCCATCAATGATAGACTGGATTGAGAAAATGTGGCACATATACACCATGGAATATTATGCAGCCATAAAAAACGATAAGTTCATGTCCTTTGTTGAGACATGGATGAAGCTGGAAACCATCATACTCAGCAAACTATCACAAGGACAAAAAACCAAACACCGCATGTTCTCACTCATAGGTGGGAATTGAATAATGAGAACACTCGGACACAGGAAGGGGAACATCACACACCGGGGCCTGTCATGGGGTGCGGAGAAGAAGGAGGGATAGCATTAGGAGATATACCTAATGTAAATGAAGAGTTAATGGGTGTAGCACACCAACACGGCACATGTATACATATGTAACAAACTTGCACGTTGTGCACATGTACCCTAGAACTTAAAGTATAATAAAAGAGAAGAATAAAGTAGAAAACTATATAAAAAAAAAAAGTCAGCAGATTTGCTAATCCTCTCTGCCTGGGGATTTCCTAAATTTTTGGCTCCTGCATTTGCTCTCATGAATAGTAGAAGAGAAAGGACTAACATTTGTGAGGAAAAATAAGCATTGAGAGGAAAAGGAGCACTTGATGAGAGATGGATCCAAATCATTACCATATACATAAGTAAGTACCATTAGTTATGTAAGCATCATTTATACTGGTCAAATATTCTTATCATTTCTTTCCTCCTGTCTTAGCCCTCTTCTGATAATCTGGTAAAAGCTATGAACCTGTCCTAGAAATGCACGTGTTCACATTTACAGAAAGGTTTGCATATATATATTTTTAAAGTCCTCATTGAATTATCAATAGACAACTCAGTATTACACAAACCCAAATCATTGCCTACTTCTCATTCTTACTCCACTATTAGCTGTAGCTGTGCAACATATCAAGAGTCAAGAAAATTTTGATGTTACATTTTGTGAGAGCTAAGTATTAGGGATAAGTGTGAACATTAGATTAAAAAACTATTTTCATGCTTCATTTGAATCAATTATTACTTGAGAAGTTTAAGAAATGCCCAAGAATTCTGCCATTTTGGTATAGGCAGAGTGATCAAATCTTAGAACAAGAAGAGAAAACAGTAAAGTGTGGAGAGCAGAAAGATATGGGAATTATTGAAGAATGGGATGAAGGATTAGTAAATGTAATTCTGTTATTGTTCAAAACTCTGAGATTCTCTGATAATTTTAATTGGTCTTGGAGGTTCCAGAAACTTAAGTAACAATCAGAAGAGCAAAGAGGAATTAAAGTTTTCCTTCCCAAACATCTTATGTTTCTTCAGATCCTTTTGTAAAATGCAAGAGCAATAAGGAGTGGTCAGATTATTGATTCCATGTGTTGAAAATACTGGGCCTGAAATCAGTACACAAGTAAAGAAAATGCTAGAAGGGGAAATAGGAAGCTCTAGATATTGAAAAGGGGTTCTTAAAATGTAAGTAAGGCAGCCTATAGTAGAGAAAGTAATGGGTTTCTTAATTATAATTTTTATTTTATTTACTTATTTATATATTTTGTTGTTTAGAGACAGAGTCTGGCTCTGTCACCCAGGCTGGAGTGCAGTGTTGTGATCACAGCTCACTGCAGCCTCAACCTTTTGGTCTCAAGCAATCCTTCCACCTCAGCCCCTCAGGTAGCTAAGACTGCAGGTGTGTGTCACCATGCCCAGTTAATTTTGATTTTGATTTTTTTATTTTTTGAAGAGATAGAGTCTTGCTATGTTCCCCAGGTTGGTCTTGAATTCATGGGCTCAAGTGCTCCTCATACCTTGGCCTCCCAAAGTGCTGGGATTACAGGGGTGAGCCACAGCACCCAGCCCCAGTTAGAATTATCTTTCTAAGACTCAGTAATAATCCACCCTTCAGGAAGCAAGGGTCATACACTTTTCCACAGGAATTCCTTGGCTTACTCATTTGGGTGGTGTTGAAGTGGTACTCCTCACCTGTGCCCCCACAAAAGCATTCTATTTCTTCTTATATGTGGCACACAAACTATACTGTCCTAACAACAAATACATGTCTTCCTCCCCCACTACTTCTTTGTATTCCCTCCTACTGTCTGTCTACAATAGTTTTTAACACACAATAAATCCTAAATAAATGTGTCTGTTGAATAAATTTGAATTGATCAGAATTTGACTTTAATGACAAAACATGCTTAATTCTTACAGGCATTTCTCAAAATGATGTTCAGAATGCACAAAATAATTAAACTCTTAAGCTATGAAATACCAATTTTAAATAAAAACGTGGGAGAAATATCCCACGGATGTCCTTTTGGATGCTTTTTCACAGTCTCCTAAAAATAAAATTTGGAACTTCTTTTGCGCAGTTACTCTTTCAACATAGATAAGCAGAGATCTGGATGGGGTTTTTGCAGAAGTAAAAATTTTTTTATCTCTTATATTTATGATTTCTTCTGAGACTGACTATGTGAAATGATGACATTTGTGCAGTTTATTAGCAGTCAGCTACAAATGTATTGGAGTAGTGTTATGTAACACTAAATAGTTTGAATCCCTAAAGGGACAGCAAATATTTTTTTCGGCTGACATGTCTTATTAGTCAAAACCCTTAGGAAATCCTCTAAATAACCCATTCACTAAAAACCATGGCTTAAAAATCCTAGTTTAATTGTTTCCAAAGAAGTACTGAAAGTTTTAACATATAAAATACAAAGTAACCTAAGTGGAAATCAATCATCATGACATTTGCTAAAGTCCCTATTAATTAAGAGAAGACTGAATAATAATATTTCTTTTTCAGGATCTGTTAATATAATTTTGGAGTTTGACACACAAGCAAAAATACATACACTAAGAGGAAAAAGAAATGTGGAAGATACTGTAGGTTGATTTGTTCAACCCTACATCCCCAACCTTTTTTTGTCTTCTTTAATCTCTTCTATAGAGGCTAAATAAACATCTTTTGCAGCCAGGAGTGCCACATGACTCAATGTTGGCCAATGAGATGTGAGCCAAACCCTACAGCGAACTTTCTCTAGCACCATCATCCTTCTTTCTTTAAACCCTGAATTTCCCGAAGAAGTATTTGTCTTATAATAGTGAATAAAAGGCCAAGAGAATCACACAGATAGCAGCCTGTTTATTTTGAGCAACTACATTATTGTCTACAGTCAATTACCACTAGACTTCTTGTCTCAATAGTATTTCCTTATTGCAAAGCCACTGCAAATTGTGTTCTCTGTTTCTTAAAGGGTAACTCACTCTTAACTGATGCATCTATTTCAATAGTGCAACCTACATTGGTAGAGAATTATGGTTACAATATAATGGATAATGTTCTGTTTTTAAAATGTGTATTTTAAATTATCTTCTAAAAGGCTAGTTTTTTAGTATTATCAGTTGACACACTTTGTTTTGCTGTCCTCACTCAGGTTTCCATTATGCCTTGATATTTACTCCTCCTAAGAGCTATGTAGATGTTCATTTGATACTGCAGTCTGAACCACGTCTTCCTTTAAGTGAGCTACTATGCCTTAAGGCATCCTGCATCTCTGCCTTGCCTCTGATGCTTCTTCTCAGCCTTGCTTGGGTCTTCTCCTTGAGATTCTCCAACAACAAAGGCATCCAAATGCATTGTTCATATAAATGTGAACTGAAAAGACTGTGTGCCATGAACAGTTTAAGTTTATTCCCTAAGTTCATGAATTATGACTGAACTCTGACAAAAGATTTCCTTATCAGTAATATTACACCATATGAAATCAATTTTTTATCAATGAAAATCATGAAATATAAATAGAATTTTCTCCCATATATTTACATACTATAATGCATTTTTTTTTAATGTGAAGATTAGTTCATAGGTTAGAAACCAATGTTTGACAACTCTGTTATCTTAAGCAACATTGAGAATATTTGCTCCTTGGTTGTAGAGGAAGAGATGCTATTTTCTCTGGAATTAGAATCCTTTTATATTAAGTAAATAATAACAACAGTTCACTTTAATTATATGTTTACTTCATAAAGTAAGCATATGATCTCATTCAATATTTAAAAATATTGTGAAGTAGATTCTCTTTTCTAGGCCCTAGTGCTTACATAAAATAAAAATTTAGCAAATGTCTGTTGAATGGATAAATGAATGCATGAATCTTTGAGCTCATTTTTTTTCAACTATGAATTGGAAGAAATACTAAGTTGAACAAGACAGACACGTTTTCTGCCTTCATATATATTTGAGTTGATGAGTGAGTAAATAAACATGAAAATAAAAATAATTATAAGTTTTATTAAGTGCTATGAAGGAAACAAAGAGAGCATGTGCTACGGATGAGGGGTAGGTAACAACATGTTCTTAAATAAGGCAATTAGCTGAGGACTTTAGTCACAGAGTCAGCTGATCATTGGTGATTTCAAATCATACTCACGTCTTCTGCCTCCTGAGCTGGTTCTGTGTCAACTACTTTATTCTGATACACAGGCAAAATTGTGTACTGCTCCTTAAAAATAAGTTAGGCCGTTTGAGAAATAACATCAATTTTTTTCAGGTCTCAGATTGTTCTTGAAGTTGGACAAATATTCAGGAGTAATGAGAGACTAACTTTCGTCACCCTTCCACAATTTAGGAGATACTTAGAGTTACTTCAGCGTTTGGTATTGTAAAATGACATCCATTGGTCTTAAAGTAGGAGAGTTTTAAAACAGTTTTCTAAGAAGCACTGAAAAATGGCTTCTTAAAAAGCACTGAGTTTCGTTTAAGCCTTGTGGCACCAGAGTTCCTATTAGTTATATAGCAATAACATAATTGGATATTTTGTGTCATTGCCTCTATTTTTTAAACATTAAATTTTATTAAGCATTTTTCATAAACAGTAATATTTTCAGGTGAGAATACAAAATAAATTGTTCATTTTAAAAGTTAATTCTGTAACCAGGTCTATGGTTGAACTGTAAAGTTAGAAATTAATTTACACACTCAGGATTGCTGTTTGCAAAGACCATTTGTTTTTTCCAATAGAGTAAGGAAAGCAGCTGAGCAAAATGGAATTCCAGTTTTTCTAAAGGGCTGTTATAACGACAGGAGTGTGGTACAATTATGTCTATTTACTTGTCCTGACACTGGGTTATCTCCCTCGTGACCCTGCAGAGCCTGAGGTAATGCATTCTGCATGGTAGTTTGGGTCTGAGAAAGTTCTAAGAACTTAGTGACAATTATGCATTGTGCTTCATTATTTATCACACTGGGGTAACGTGAATCTCTCTGATGTCCACTACAGGCTGATCCGAGGCCCCTGTTCACAAGGAAAGTCATGAGGAACCCTTATCCTACTTTCAAAACATTACCCGCCTGCACCATTTTCATTTTATTCAGTAGGGATAATGTGCTTATGACTGGGAACAGCCATTCTGTATTCTAGCTTGACTCTCCTTTAAACTAGTAGTTGTGCTGTACATGACATACCTTGTGTTACTAGAAATTAGGATATTTGCTCTGGAAAATTTTAACAACTTCAAAGTGTAAATGAGCAGCCAGAAATGTTTCTACGAGGTCAGCTGCATTCCACCAACACCAGAAGCCTGCATGTATCTGATTTTGTAAATAAACAAGAGACATGATGTTTGAAAAAACTTGGTTTTCCTTGACCTGTGCAAAATTGGTTGGAATGTTTCTTTAACATTCCCACTTGCCTTTCAAGCTGCAGATTAATGTAAAATTCCAAGATTTTTTAGGAACCAGTGTCTGCATTTTCTACTTGATGAAGAAGCTTTGGAAAGAACAATTGCTTCATTTAAAACTTTTCTAAAATCAATACTGAACAAAATTGTATTTATACCCATACTTATTCAGCTTGGGTATTTTCAACTTAGAGAGCTTAAATTCTAGACCCAGTATAACATAAGAAATGTCAAATGTAAGAAACAAAGATTCTAGAATATTCCAGACCCCTGGTGGTATTTTCTGAGTCAAAGGGAAGCTATAGAACGTGTAGCAGGACGAGCCACAGACAAAACTCCTCAGACACCGAGTTAAAGAAGGAAGAGGTTTATTCGGCTGGGAGAATCGGCAAGACTCCTGTCTCAAGAGCCAAGCTCTCTGAGTGAGCAATTCCTGTCCCTTTTTAGGATAGTTTGTAACTGTGTGATTTGGTTGAGCATGTGAATGGGGGTCTGGTATCCTTATGAGCCGTCTTGTGCATAAGTAGCAGGCCTATAATATTGTATAATTCTCTCAGGGGGCTATTTATTATCTTTTTTATTATTATTATTATTTTGGCTAACACTTTACTTGTGTTGTTTATGAGCCCTCACCAGTCTTCAGTTCTTAATTTTATTTTAAAAACCGTGGTCATGGGAGGCTCAGATGGGTCATAACACACATCAGATTGGTCATTTCCTGGGCTACATACCTTATATAGAATAAAATTATACAAACAAGTTTTTTTTAGGGTTCCAGTACACTTATAATAACTATAAAATAATAAGGCCTTAGCAACTTTTTGTCCTACCTCAGTGACTTGATGTATACACTGGGAACAGCCCTCAGTCTGAGGAAGGTCAGTTGAAGTCCTTACTGCACAAGTCCAAATTTTAAGGAAAATGAGTCTTGTGATGAGTTTCTTCATGCTTTGGCTGTGTGTGGACCAGTCAGCTTCCAAGTGTGACTGGAGCAGGGCTTGTTGTCTTCTTCAGAGTCACTTTGCAGGGGCTGACAAAGCTGCTCCCATCCACGTATAACTCTCAGTCTACTGATGTTTAAGGTTGGTCTCAGAGGTTGGGCCCACTAGAATAAACTGAGTCCAATACCTCTACACAGTTATGTTTAACTGGACTCTCTGATACCAGAAGCAAGGTGGCGGGGTTTAGGGTGTTGTAAACTTCAATGGTGATGTTGGGATTTTCACAGAGCAAGCTTTGGTTATCTAGTTAGTCTAGCATTTGTTAACTAATGATGTCCTTCGGTATTTATTAAAGTCACCACAGCATGGGAGGACTTTATGTTTAGGTTTTGCCCAAGAGTTACTTTATCTGCTTCTTGTGCTAACAGGGCCATTGCTGCCAGGGCCCTTAGACATGGGGGCCAGCCTTTGGAAACTCCATCTAGTTGTTTTGAGAGATAGGCCACTGGCCTTGGCCAAGGCCCCACAGACTGGATTAAAACTCCAACTGCCATTTTTTTTTTCTTTCTGACACATAGGGTGTAAAGGGTTTTGTCAGGTCAGGTAGCTCCAGGGCTGGGGCCAACATGAGTTTTTTTTTTTTTTTTTTAACTCATGGAAAGCTTGCTGCTGTTGATTGTAATAGGTGTAGTTTATCTAATCTACATTTTTATTAACTGTCACCCACTAAAATATTGACTTAAATCCTATAGCTATTTGATTTCAAGCTTTAAATTGATCTGGTATTCCTTGCAGGACTCCAATTGCATCTAAATAGATGTGAGAGTTGAAAGATCCATAGGGACTTCTCTCACTTTACGATGTCTTATTTTTTCTCCTTCTTGTTGATGAAATGCCCCAGTGAAAGGGATAGCCAAATGGACTAAAGCCCAAGTGTCACTCTAGTTATTCGGCAGAGTGCCCAGTAAAGATCCACCACAATACCACCACACATCTGCTTGGGGATGAACAAGGGCTGACTGATTGATAAGCTCTTGAAAATTCTTAAGCTCATCGCATCCCTTCAGGTCTCCAAGGGATGCTAAGTTGCCTCCCTGTCGTGAGAGACATGAAGTGAACTTAATGTTGGGAAGCGGAAGCTGGATGGCCCTTGGGGGCTGACCCACAGGGTGCCAGACTTTGGGATATAGCAGAGAGAGCTTGGCATGACTTATTACTTCAGGCTGTAGAATACTGGAAAAGAGCTACCATGCAGCCTACGCCTGGTCAACTGGAGGACCACCTTAATAGAAAGGGGAAAATCTGGGCCTCTGGCCTGCCATGTGCACAAGCATAACAATTGCTTTTGTTTAACGTGCAGGCGGAATATTTGATCCATTTTAACCAGGCATTTGCATCTTGGTATCCTGTCTTAATTGCTAAAGTTTGTTTTAAGTCTTTAACTTCTATGATCCTCTAGTAAAATGAATGTATGATTTTAGGAAATTATAAAAACCAGTCGGGGCAGTTCATCCTTGCTCTTTAGTGGTCCACAGAATGTTGGACCAACTATGGCATAAAAGCTCTATGTTGGGGGGCAAGACTCCTGGTTGGCACTGGGGTCTTTATCGAAATCTCCCCCGATTAAACGGTCCTAGTTTACCAATGCCCAGTCTAAAGAGAGTCAAGAGGGATAGAAGTACTTTTCTGAAGTAGAAAGCTGTCTTTGACTTGGCAAGTCTCCACAGGGTATAACAAGGCAAGCATTAAATGCAACAGTTTGAGGTGAAATTGACTTGGTTATGTTAATAACTAGATGGTCCGCAATAGAATGAGGAAAGAAGAAAGAGTAATAGAATAGATGAAAAGAGTTAAATTTTTCTTAGCTTTAGCTTGGTAGGGTTTTCCCCTGGGACTATGGCCCACGACTCTGGAGGGGGTGGCGCTTTCTTGACTCAGGTGTGATGAGTCCATCCTTTTTTGCTGTATGAACAGCAGCCTTGGTGGTTAGCAGCACAAAGTAGGGTCCTTCCCAGGCTGGCTCGAGTTTTTCTTCTTTCCACCTTTTGATGAGAACGTGATCTTCAGGCTGGTGCTGGTTTACTGGAAATTCTAGGGGTGGTATGCATACTAAAAGACTTTTAAGTGGAAGATAAGCCAAGTATATAATTTTTAAGAAATTGACCATTTGTTTTAAATGTGGGGACCTTGGCAGTGGACTTTATAGTCCTTAGTGCCTTGTTACTGAGAAATTTCCTTTAGCACCTATTTTTATTAGTTTTTAAATCAAAGAAAGCCAAATACCATTACATTTAACAATGCTTCCTGTATGATTTTTATACCAGATAAGTTAAATTTTACCTTTATATTAATGTGTTATTAATGTTAAACCTAATTTTAATAAAACCTTGCAGACATATTTATCTAATTTTTAATATTTGACTATAAGGTAAGATTTTATAGACTCTTTTTAACATTTTATAATTTTTGCTAAAGAGCAGGTTGGTACTTCAAGAAAAACCTGTTATGCTTTTATTTTAATGTCCAGTTTACAGAAAAACTGGATGATACCTCTTTAACTTTAGCCGATGTTTACACACAGATTTTTTTTTTCAATTAACATTTTAAAACTTGATTAAACCTTTAAAACAAAACGCACATATTTTTAACCTTTTAATGTAGGTAAAACTTTACATTCTTATGCCTCCTTATAATTCTTCTATTAAAAGTATATTTTACTTTTTTTATATACCTTGCACATAAACTGTTTCTTTAATAGTTTTACATTTAGGAGGCCTAATTACTTTTAAACTAGACAACATTTCTTGCATGAATTTCCTTTTATAACCTTTTTTTTCATGACTTTCGCAGGCAGTTCTTCAACATGCTTCAACTTTCTGACTTATTACAAATATTTCTTTCTTTAAACAACCAGCTAATTTATTTCAGGACAAGAATTTACCATATAATACTCTTTTTACATAAATTCTGCCCCCCCTTTTTTCCTTTTTTTTTTTTTGAAGATGATAACCATTTTTTTCCAAAGCAAACTTCTTTTGTGTCTGTGGACTAGACTGTCTAAGGCCGCAAGAATAGAAGTTAGTATAAAACATGTTACACTGTTAACTTTTAGCAAACTTTACTTTTGTTGAAAACCTTGCAAGTTTGGGATTTTAATTATCTTTTGCTATTAATAAGACCTTGTTTTGTCCAAATTAACTTAGAATTGGTATAGATGGCTTTTTTTTTCCTAACAGAATAGCCCCTTGCTTTAATATTTTTGAGTTAGTAAGCTACTTTTTTGCTTTTTTGATTTAGGATATTTCTGAACTGAACTAGTGAGGTGTGCTCACAATGAGGTTTCCTCTAAAAGTTATTATTATTATTTTACTTTTTTTCTGTTAGCAAAGTAGTTGCTGCTACAGATTGAATGCATTTGGGCCATCCACGGGCTACTGGGTTAAGGATTTTTGATAGGAAGGCCTCAGTGCTTTTGGGATACGCCCTTGTTTACACTGACAACAAAGTAGTATTGGAGTGTTACAGGATTATGGAGAATACCTTCAATTATCAATTATAGGTTTCAAATTTACCTTGGCTTTTAAAGGAATAGGGTACACTTTTTTTCTTAACTACTTGTATATCTCTGTCTTTCTCTTCTCTGTCTCTCTCTCTCCTCTCTGCCTCTCTCTCTCTCTCTCTCTGCCTCTGCCAGCCACTTATGCTGCAATTCTCTCAACCACTGTGAAGGGATCTAAAACCAGCAGTAACCAAGCATCTATGTACGGGAACTGGTCTGGGTGCCCTGGCTTTACAGGTTACCTTGTGCCATACCTTTGAAACAAGGGACCTTTCCAGGCTTCCTTCTGATGGCCAACCTACCTCTAATGCTGGCCAGTCTATTTTACATAAAGTTCTAAGTTTTCCTGGTGTCATAGTCTCCCTTAAATCCCTTTTTGAAATTTTTCAACATAGTTCCTAGTAGGGTGGGCTTATTTGTGCCTGACCCATGCTTCTTTGAGGCAAAACACCACGCTCACACCACATGCACACCACAAAACAAAGAACCGGTAAAAAGGGCACACACACACTTTTACAGTTTACACCAAACAAAAATCAAAACCAAAATCAGAGTATCCAGAAATTCAAGCCAAGTCAAAGACAAAACCAAAGTATCAAGCAATCCAAGTCAAATCAAAAACAGAAACCAAAGTGCCGGTACAGGCACACCATCGGTGATCAGGCCATGCTTCCACTCAAATGGAGTAGGCAAGTTCCCAAGACCAGTCCTGTCAAGCAATTCAAACCAAGTCAAAACCAAAACCAAAACCAAAGTGCCAATAAAGGCACACCGTGGGTGAGCAAGCCACGCTTCTACTCAAATGGAGTGGGCAAGTTCCAAAGACTAGTCTTACCAAGTTTCAGATGTCCAGACTCCAAGTACCAGTTCCTTCCCAGTGTTCAGCCACTGTGTTGATCCTCCACGGGGGCCTGCCACACACTGCTCTGGCAAGGCGTCCCACCGGGGCAAATGCCTACCTGGGAGTGCTCTCAGGATCCACGTTGCTCGGGCTGGCCAGAGTCCCCCACCGGAATGTTCCACAGGGCAGGCTTAAGTCACCTAAGGAGCTGCCTCGACCATCCACCAATCACCTCACTTCCCAGTCAGGGAACCAGGAAATGTAGCAGGACAAGCTGCAGACAAAATTCCTCGGATACCGAATTAAAGAAAGAAGAGGTTTATTCGGCCAGAAGCATCGGCAAGACTCCTGTCTCAAGAGCTGAGCTCTCTGAGTGAGCAATTCCTATCCCTTTTAAGGGCTCACAGCTCTAAGGGGGTCTGCGTGAAAGGGTTGTGATTGATTGAGCAAGCAGCAGGTACATAACTGGGGGCTGCATGCACTGGTAATCAGATCAGAACAGAACAGGACAGGAATTTTCACAGTGCTTTTCCATACAATGTCTGGAATCTATAGATAACATAACCGGTTAGGTCAGGGGTCGATCTTTAACTACCAGACCCAGGGTGTGGCACCAGACTGTCTGCCAGTGGATTTCATTTCTGCCTTTTAGTTTTTACTTATTCTTTCTTCAGAGGCAGAAATTGGGCATAAGACAATATGAGGGGTGGTATCCTCCCTTAAATGGACTCCAATAAATGTAAGTCAGCTGTGGGTGTATGGATTGCTCTCCATTAGCAGGGAGCAGCTTAGGTTGATGCAGCAGAAAGGTGGCAGAGTCTTAGGTTTGAGTTAGGCAAGATAGATGAGGAAAAGGCAGACAGTGAACTGCTAAGATGGAATGTTCGTGCCTTATCCGAGAAATGTCCAAGTCTGCATAACCAGGAGAGACAGAGGATGTTCTGAGATGTCTCCCTGCACTCTTGCTATGTCTATAGTCAATTCTCCACACCCTAGCCAGCAAGACCAAATGCAAGTCTAAGTCAATTCAAGTCATTCCCCTGCTTAAGACTTTCCAATGTCTCCCAGTAGCTGAATAAAGTTCATATATATTTCCAAATATAATTTGGAAGATAAACACCAAATACATTTCTAACTCATTGCCATTGCCTACAAGGCCCTAAATGATCCATTCTGGTAAGCTCTCCAACTTCCTTTCTTACCCTGCCCCCACTCATGTCCACCTATACCAGCCTCTTTGCAGATCCTGAAACATGCCATGCTGAACCTTTTCTCAGGGACTTCTTCTTGCTGAACTTCTTCCCCCATTCCCACCTCTCCCAGACTGAAATGATCTATCCTAGTTGTCTGCCTGTATTGATCTCTCACTTTATTAGGGTCCTCACTTCCTTCTCAAGTCTTCTCCTTGGAGAAGTCTTCCCTAGTACACTCTCTAAAATAGTTTCTCCACCCGTCATGAGGCCAAATTATTTGTTTACAGTAATATCACTTTCCCCCTCAGCTTTATTGAGGTACAGCTAGTATCCAAAAAGCTGCATGTAATTAATGTTCACAGTTTGGTGGGTTTGGACAAGTGTATACATACACTCACGTTATCATTACTACAAGCCAGGTAATAAACATATCCATTACCTCCAAATTTTCCTTGTGTCCCATTGTTTTGTTTTTATGGTAACAACGCTTCACATGAGATCTACTCTCTTTAAGTTTTTAAGTTCACAAAATCTTATTGTTAACTATAGTCACTGGGTTGTTCAGCAGATTTCTGGAACTCACTCATGTTGTATAACTGTAAATTTATACACATTGAACAACAACTTCCTATTTCCCCCTCCCACCAATCCCTTGGTAACTATCATTCTATTGTCTACTTCAGTACCTTTGATTATTTTAGGTATCTCTTACGTATAAGAGGAATATGCAGTATTTGTCCTTCTGTGACTTATCCCACTTACCATAACGTATTACAGATCCACCCATGTTATCATAAATGGTAAGATCTCCTTCATTTTATTTTATTTTTAAATTTAATTTTATTTTTTGAGATGGAGTTTCACTCTTGTCACCCAGGCTGGAGTGCAATGGCATGATCTCAGCTCACTGCAACCTCCGGCTCCCAGGTTCAAGTGATTCTCCTGCCTCAGCCTCCCAAATAGCTGGGATTACAGGCACCCACCATCACGCCTGGCTAATTTTTGTATTTTTAGTGGAGATGGAGTTTCACCATGTTGGTCAGGCTGGTCTCGAACTCCTGACCTTAGGTCATCTGCCCGCCTCAGACTCCCAAAGGGATCTCCTTCTTTTTAAGGGCTAAATGATATTCTATTATATATATATATATATATATATATATACACGTGTATATATATATATATATATACACGTGTATATATATATATACACGTGTATATATATATATATACATAAAATACACACATATATATATACATATATATATATATATATATATATATATATATATATATATATATGTGCCATCTTTTCTTTACCCATTCATCTGTGATGGACATTTGGGTTGTTTCCATATCTTGGTTATTGTGAATAATGCTGCAGTGAATATGACAGTGCAGATATGTCTTCAAGATCCTGATTTCAGTTGATACACACACACACACACACACACACACACACACATATCTCTATCTATCTATCTATCTATCTATCTATCTATCTATCTATCTATCTTTATCTCCAGAAGTTGGACTGCTGTATCATATGGTAATTCTATTTTTAGTTTTTTGAGAAACTGCCATACTGTTTTCCATAGCAGCAGTACAATTTTACATCCTATTAACAGTATATGAGGATTCTAATTTCTCCACAACCTCACCAACACTTGTTATCTTTTGTTTTCTGGACAATAGCCATTCTAACCAATGTGAGTTGATACCTGTTTGTGGTTTCAATTTGCATTTCCCTGGTGATTAATGATATTGAGCATGTTTTTATATTATCTGTTGGCATTTGTATGTCCTTTTGGGGGACATGTCTACTTGATTCCTTTTCCAATGTTCTAACCAAATTACTTATTTTTTGCTCTCGAGTTGCAGAAATCCTTTATATAGTTTGGATATTAACCCTTTATCAGATATATGGTTTGCAAATATCTTTTCCCATTCCATAGTTTGCCTTTTCACTCTGTTGATTATTTTCTTTGCTGTGCAGAAGTTTTAAAAAATTTGTTATAGTCTCACTACTATTTTTGCTATTGTTGCCTGTTCTTTTGGTGTCCTATCAAAGAAACAATTTTTGTCAAAACCCATGTTGAGACATTTTTTCCTTACATTTTCTTCTAGGTGTTGTATGGTGCCAAATTTTACATCAAATCTTTAATCAATTTTGGTTAATTTTTGTGTTTGGTAAAAGATAAGCATCCCATTTCATTCTTCTGCAGATGGATATCCAGTTTTGCCAACCCTATTTATTGAAAGACTACCCCTTCCCCCTTGTATTCTTGGCACTCTGTAGAAAATCAGTTGACCATACATATGTGGGCTTATTTCTGGGGTCTCTATTTTGTTTCACTGTTCTATGCTTTTATGCCCGTGCCATACTGTTTTGGTTACAGTAGCTTTGTAATACATATTGAAGTCAGGAAGTGCAATGCCTCCAGCTTTGTTCTTTTTGCTCAAGATTTCTTTGGATGTTTGGGGTCTTTCGGAGTTCCATATGAATTTTAGAGCTTTTTTTTTCTACTTCTGTAATAAACATCTTTGAGATTTTGACAGGGGTTTCATTGAATCTATAGATTATTTTGAGTCATATGGATGTTTTAACAATATTGATTCATCCAATCTATGAACACAGGATGTCTTTCTATTTATTTGTGCCTACTTTAACTTCTTTAATCAATGTTTTATAGTTTTCAGTGTACAAATCTTTCACCTCCATGGTTAGATGTATTCCAAAGTATTTTACTATGTTTGATGATATTGCAAATGGGATTGTCTTAATTTCCTTTTCATATAGGTCATTGTTGATAGTTACATTACTTTTTGGTATTGTGTTGTGTATTTATTAGTGCAACTTCTTATTAGTTGTCTTGTTAATATCTGTAGCCCAGCACCTAAAACAATGCCTGGTACATGATAGGCTCTTGATAAATAGTTGATGATTCATTAAGAAAATTAATACCTGCTGATTTATAAGGGGAAGAAATATGGTAATTTAATCCATGACCTTTATAGCAAAGAAAGTCATGAAAAATGAGATAGGTAATGAGGTTTAAGTACAGGAAAAGTGGTTCAAGAGGCTGAATTTTGGAACTGTGAGTTGAAATGTATTTTAGAATGAGTTAGAAGTAAAAGACCTGTAGATTAGAGTCCTTGATTGTCAAGAGTAAAGGGATCACATTCAAGGCTTGATAAGGATTGGTCCAGCTACATTTTTTTTCTTGAAACATTGAAATTTATTTTTTTCCATATGAAAATCCATTATTTTCTGTGCATCCTGAGGCACAAATAAAAAGGTGTATCTTTTATAATTTTGTTGAAATTTGAAAATACTATCTTTGGGGTTTTCTAATTTCTTGCGCAATTGTTTTTCCAAAAGTTAAGTGGGAAAAAGGGATTTAAGGAGGGAGGGAGAGAGAAAAGGAGGGAGGGAGAGAAGGAGAGATGGATTTTGCTTTTCTTCTTTGATCAGCAGAAAAAAATGTGACTGCTAGCAACAGCTTTTGGAGAGGGGAACAGGAATCTAGATGTGCAGAAGCCAGGAGGGCATATGTGGAAATAAATATCTTTCCTGCGAGTGTGGCAGAGAGGTGGGTATGATTGTTGTCCAAAAAATACTAGTAAGCAAGTGGCAGAGAAGCTGATAAACTGACTCAGCACACTCTGAGGTTTGGAATTGTTCTTTTAGAGAACTGATAACGGGAGGTGTTATAATAGCAGAGAAGGGGAAAAAATGACCTATGTATATATTTTTTACTCTCCAAGGATTTTGGTTATGTTTCTTTCTTTAATCATATTTATTTCATAGTAAAATAAAGTTATTTTATCATAAGATAATGTAGACCTAGAAATGGATGTAAATGCCAATTAGAACTGTTGATAAGGAATGAAAATATATTAAAGGCTTTGACATGAACACTTTTTAGGTTTAATTATTTTTAAATTAGTAAATAGAGAATCCGTGGACATGAGGGCCCTTCCTCTGGCTTGTGCCACACTTCAGAAACATGTCTCAGTTGATTTCATCATGTGGAAAAAAATGGGTTAGATTAAAAAAAAATTAGGTGAAAGAGTAAATAGTTGGGAGATTTAAATGAAAAATTATGAGTTGAAAGTAAGAAGTGAAAATCCATGTACTGCGTCTTGCCATAATTAGAATCTGGGTGCGTTTGATGAACTGAAGATTAAATAGTTTCTGGGAACTTTTAAAGCCAGGGGCTTTTCCATATTCCCAGCATGACTCAGCATGGGAAACTTCCACTCAGTGTAAGCATGCAGGGCATTTTGTGAGCAGAAAAGCCCTGCCAGCTTCTAAGCTTCATGGGAGAAAACAATAAATATGGAAGCCACCAGCTCTCTGAATTAAAGAGAACAAAAAATGTTCTGAAAAGAAAAGGAAGGGGTAGCTCAGTAAAGAGAACCTTATTACTGGGAGCTATTTAGTCATGGCAAAAGTTCTAGATCTTTAAGACAAGAGTTGTTGGTATCGATTATGTGAAAGAATTAGATACAGATATCTAAAACTATCTGATATAATTGGAATATAAAACCATTTAAACAATATAATGAGAGGACAAGAGATTTGGAGCCTCAAAGCCTGGGTTTGAGTCCCAGATCTATCACTTGCTTGTTGTTATTGAAGTATAATATACACACAAAAAGCTGCATAAGTGATGGTGCTGTGGCTTTTCACAAAAGACACATATGCATGTAACCAGCATTCACTGAAATTGAGGATCAGGATATTAGCAACATCTCAGAAAGCCCCTTTTCACTCCCTTTTTGTTACTGACCCCCAAGGGTAACCAGTCTCCTGATTCCTGATTTCTAACACAGCAGATTCATTTTGACTGATTCATCATAACTTTATATGAATAGAATCATTCAAGACGTACTCATCTGTACTTAGTTCTTTGGCTCAACATTATGTTTGTGATTTATTCCTGTTGCTGTGTCTAGCTGTAATCTGTTAGTTTTCATTGCCAAATTACATTGTTTGGAATAAATAAACATAATTTATACAAATTACACTTGATGGACATCTGGACTGTTTTTAGGCTTTGGTTATTCTCAGAATAACCAAATACAAGAATGTTGCTAAGAACATTTTGTACATTTCTTTTTGTGAACATCTTAATGCATTTCTGATAGTCTGCCAGGGCTGCCATAACAAAGTTGCAAAGACTATGTAGTTTAAACCACAGAAATTAATTTTTTCACTGTTCTAGAGACTGGATGTCCAAGGTTAAGAGGTCAGCAAATTTGGTTTATCCAGAAGCT
Organism: Homo sapiens; assembly: GCF_000001405.40. Lineage (NCBI taxonomy): Eukaryota > Metazoa > Chordata > Mammalia > Primates > Hominidae > Homo > Homo sapiens. The sequence goes on from NC_000013.11 coordinate 77,981,826, forward strand.
TCTCTCCTTAGTTGCAGATGCCACCTTCCCATTGTGTCCTCACACCATCTTGCCTCTGTGCTTTGGTGTCTCTTTCTCTTCTTATAATCACATCATTCCTATTGAATTAGGGCTCCATCCTTTTTGCTTCATTTAATCCTGCTAACCTTCTTGAGGCCCCTGCCACCAAATAAATACAGTCATATTAGTGGTTAGGATTTCAACATATGAATTTTGGTAGGACACAATTCAGTCTATAATGGCATTTATGTGGGTTATATTCTTAAGTAATAAATGCTAGGTCATTGCATTTGAGTACATTCAGGTTTAATAGACACTGAGAGTTTTCCAGATTGGTTGAACTGGTTTGCATTGTTGTTGGAAATGCAAATCAGTTCAACCAATCTGGAAAACTGTCATTGTCTAGGGTTCCAGTTACTTCATAATATTGGTAAATATGGCATTGCCTTTCTCATTTTATCCATTCTGGTGTGTATGTACATGGCATATCACTATGATTTAATTAGCATTTCCTTGATGATTACTGAAACTGAATATCTTTCATATGTTAGTCACTTGGATATCCTCATTTGTAAAATGTCTGTTCAAAACTTTTGGCTACTTAAAAAATTTAATTGTCTGCCATTTTCTGATTGATTTGTGGAAGTTCTCATAATCCTGGAAGTAAAATATTCTTTGTTGAATAGATACCTAGCCAATATCTTCTGCTAGTTGATGTATTTCCTTTTCAGTCCTTAGTCATGTTCTGATTAATATAAGTGATTTTAACAGGGATGTTTAATTTATAACTTTTTCTTTTATGGCTAGTACATTTTTAACCTTATTTAAGTAATCTTTGCTTGGCTTTAAGTTACGAAGATTTTTTATTTTTTAACAACAGCTTTATTATTTTACTTTTACATTTAGATCTCCCGTACATCTACAACTGATTTTTGTGTATTGTGTGAGGCTTGGGAAGGGGTCATGATTCACTTTTTCCATGTACAATTCAGCAGACCCCAAATCATTTATGTAAAAAACCCATCCTTCCTTGCTGCACTGCAGTGTCACCTTTGTCATAAATCAGGTGACAGTTCTAATAATCGGTCAGTTTCTGAATGTGCTCTTCTTTTTCACTGGTCTATATTTTTATCCTTGAGTCTATAGCAAACTTTCTTAAATATAATAGCTTTATATGTGACTGGCTTGACTTCTTGTATTAACAGTAATCTTTGTCCAGGGCTATTCTTGGCCTTTTGCATTTTCAAACACGTTTTAAAATTAGCTTATTAATTTCCACAGAAACACCTTCTGGAATTTTGGTTGGGAGGATTACATCAAATTTATAAGTGAGTTTAGGAAGAACTGATATTTTTAAAATATTGAACCTTCCAATTCATGAACATGGTATATCTCATTATTTAAATCTTTCTCAATTTCTGTCAGTACATTTTGTAGTTTTCTATGTAGTTGTCTCATACATCTTTCACTAGATTTATTCCTACATATTTTATGATTTTTAAAGTTATTGTAATTTAGCCAAGTGATTTTATTGCCATCCATAACCTCTAAGTATGAGTAGTTTTTAAATTTTGAATAATATTGATCCAAAGATAATCTAGCCAAATCATAATGATCAAGCAGTATCTTCACCCATTCCTTTGCACATTTCTTTATTGAATAATCATTTATTGCATTCCTCTTGTATGCTTGGCACAGTGCTAGATGCTAGGCACACAAAATAAGGCACAAAATAATCATTTATTGCATGCCTCTTGTATGCTGGCTGGGCACAGTGCTAGATGCTAGGCGCACAAAATAAGGTGGTCTTTATTCTAAAGGAGGTAACAGTTCATGGTTAAACAAACAATAACAATACAGGATGACAAATTGAAGAGGTATGACTAATTAGGAAACCCAGAATGATGCTGAATAATAATCAGAATAATTACAGAAGTCATATTAAGGAGTAGCAACAGAAATAGCACAATCACTTCACAAGGGACAATAATAATTGAGCAAAATGAAGGTTAGTGTGAAAGAAAATAATTTGTTAATATTCTGTTTAAACTTGTAGCACATAAAGAGAAACTATAAAAACTTCTTACAGAATCATATCACACCAAATTGGTGCTAAATTAAACTCAAGCAAGAAGGTAGGAGCCTTGGAATACAGTGTGATCTGTGTTGTCTTGATTTAATGGGTTTTTGAGGAGTAGGAGCCATAAACATAAATGCAACAAGTGATCTTCTCCAGGCTGGGGCCACAGAAGAAAGGGCCTGTTTAGGTCACCAGGAGGAGGAATTTATCTGGAAGCAGTGGGATGGGAACTGAGACGAAACCAGCTCCATTATTTATTTACAAGGCTGCTTTAGGAAGTATGGATCCTTTTGTTTTCTAGAAGAACTATAAACAAACTTCTTCTCTGTTTATTTGTATAAAGGATACCACTGAATTTTTGTAAACAAAGTAGACTGTTAGGAATAAAGGATAGTTTGATTTAGGATATGTGTCCATAACATATATTATCTAAGGAGAGTTATGCTGCCTATTGACAGTGGCAAATTCACGATATTAAAGCAAACGTAAGAATGATGAAAATACAGCAGTGAAAGTGCAAGGGATTGAGAAGTGAGGATTTTGAACTTCTACTAGTTCTGAAAAGCATGTCTAATTTAAATTAGAAGTAAATGGATGTAGTAGAAATATCTTTCAACTAGGAAAGAGTCTCAGTTTTTACACATTTTAAAGCTATTTAGCCTCTCTGGTTTTCAGTTTCTCATATAGAATATATTGCTTTCCTTCCATAGCAACTCACCTAATAGTTGCACTCAATAAATATGAGATACATGAATGAATATATAGGAGATAATCAGTGGGAGAGGGTCTTTATTGGGTCTTCTTAGTTTTAATACTCTCTATATTTTCTTTAAACAATCATATATTCTCCTATGGGTTACATTTTATTTCTGCTATTGACTCCTAAATTATAAATCCATCTCAGATCATTCCTTGAACTCTAGGTATGTATATCTATTTTCTTTTAACTGGACATCTGCAATTGGATACTCCAGCTAAAAATTGACATACCTAATGTGAACTCATTGATTTTTATCTTCTTCCCAACTTGCTCTCCTCCTGTGCCCCTAGTTTAGTTAACAGCATTCAGCAATGGACCCCTTTGCCCAATATACCATTGATCACAATTTCCCAAAGGGGCTATGTCCTAAATAGCTCTGGGAAGCAACCACTTCTCTCTCTGTTCATACTCCCACAATCCTTGTTTAAGTCATTGCAAAAATGGCCTGCACAACTCTAGCAGCCTTTCAAACTGGTCTCTGACTTTAGAATATTCTCTTTGAATTGATTGCATTATTTCAGACAGTGATCTTTCTAAAATATAACTCAAATCCCATCACTCTCTGCCTAAAATCATTCAATGATTCCACATTGCCCCAAGGATAAAGTGCCAACTCCCTAAAGTGGTTTACCATCCTTGTTATACACTCCTGCTTTCCTTTCCAATCTCATTTCTTGAATAAATTCTGTCTTCGGCCAGACTGTGCTGCTTTCCTCACCTGGGCTTTATGCTCCACTTTCCTGACCCTGAACATGATGTTCTGCTTGCCTAATTGCTTCCTCCTTCCACCCAGCTCTCACCTCCAGCCTCCACATCTTTGCCTCCTCACCTGACAATATTCTCGCCATCTGTATTATTTCAATGTAGAAATCATCTTTGTAAAGATGTCTTTTCCCCGTGGTTGCTACTACTCCTTTCCTAGCACATTTGTATGCTGTATTATCTGTTAAATGTCTGAGTCCCCCACTAGATGAAAAAACTTTGTGAGTATGTGAATGTTTACCTGTCTGATTCACGTTCATTGTGTTGTCTAATTGTCTGGCTCAGCATAGATTATTAATAACTATTTATAAAATAAATCACTCTGTTGCAATATTAAAATACTATAATAGAATGTTAAATAAAATTATAAGGCTGAGACAACCGTTTAAATTTGACTGGCGTGGGTTGGGGTATAAAGAAAATGAGAGCCTGGGGCACTTCAGAGGCAATTTATGACACATAAAGTACCCTTCCGGGGCACTTTATGATGTCAGAACAAAAAAGTTGTGCTTTTCGTTTGGGATTTTGGGAATGAACCAGAGTACAATCCTTTCACTGCTGCTGCTGTCATATAAGCTCTAGGGACAATAAAGAACATTGTGACCTGAAAAAATAGACTTTGGAAAAAGCTCTTAAAATCTGGGGTGTTACACAAGAGGATATGACATGTCTTGCCCAGTGAATAAGGCTCTTCAGAAAACTTCTAAAAAGAGGCTGCATCTGCTTTAGTTGCTTAGAGGAATGCATATTCTCTGAGCACTGTTTTCTCCAAAACATTTTGAGAAATGGGCCTCAGTTTTCTTACTTGTAAAGTGGGTACAGTAGAAAATGTACCTCATCATCTTGTACATGAGGATTCAATAAACCAAAGTAAATAAGCTTTTACAATGGCCTGACACCTAGTAAATACCAGATAAGTGTTTGCTTCCTTTATTACCATTGTTATCAATTTGACTCTGAGATAAGAGCTAACACATAAAGTGAGAGGCATTGTTGTGGTACATCTGCAGAAGTCATTTGTGTTCTCCAAGTCCTTCCAGAGTTCCTCTGGGGACGGTGCATGAGAGTCCTGGGGTTGAGTTCCTGCAGTCTGGCCTCAAAATCTGTGGCTCCTGGCTGAGCTTCAGCTAACAGTATATCTGAGTTTTCCTGTCAATCAAGGATATCTTATATGGGACTGAGCAATTTAGATTTGAAATGCTAAATGTGGAACAAATGTTACCACATCAGATAGGAATGGAAACTGTTCTTTGTGGAGAGATACCAGGATCTCTCTTCCTTGGGAAGATGAGCTGAGAGAGGAACACAGAGATGTCGCTCTGTGCAGCCACTGGCACTGGCCCCTGTGCCACCTTAGTTCTTCAGGGTGAGCTTTAATTGTTGTCCAGTGTCATGAGTTTCAGTCTCTATGCTATTGTGAGAAAATTGTGCTAAAAGCCACTGAGAGACCACACAATGACAGCTGGCACACTGATACACTGTGCGGGTTACTGCTAGAGTTCAAGTCTCTCAGGGATGCTCCAGGGCACAAACCCTCAGCCTCGGGTATTCATCCAGGGAGGTTTGGATCCGATTCGCATAAATCCCAGTGTGGTAGCAAGGAATTTCCTGCCTCCTACTGCTTCAGGACACCTGCTCAACCCATTTTTAGAAGGCTTTCACAGCCCTTTTGGGGCATTCCCAGGACAGGTGGGCAGGAGGTGGTGGCCGTGGGGGCTGGACATCCATCAGACCTGGGATGGAGTGGTGCCTCACCTGGATCTGCACATCCCAAAGAGGTACCCAAGGCTGGGCCAAAAGGAAATGAGTGTACGTGGCTTGTACTTTGACCAGTGTCCTGCTCCTTGCCTTCCTCCCCCTGCACATGGTGTGAAAAGGAGTGGCGTTCTCCCAGACACAGACCAACTTTGGAAATTGGGATTGTGGTACTATCTGAAAGTGTGCAGCATTTTAACCTCGAGTGTGTAAGTCTAAGTATTGTAAAACATGTTTTTATATTTTAAAAGCTCTTAAAGGTAATTTTATTTTATTGAACATCAGAAACTATCTACATATTCATAAAGAATGCTTGATTAAAAGACAGTATCTCCCAGAGCGCCAGAAATTTTAGTGTAGTTACACTCATTTGGAATCAGCCTAACACTTACCATATTCATAATTACTAAGAAATTCTAAGGAAAGTGTATGTATGCACATACACATCATATACATATTCAGAATATATGTGTATATAGATTATATACCGTAAATATATATGTCTGTTACCTGTCTTTTTTTCTATAAAAAAAAACTTTATTCATGCCTAGTATTAACTCCCAGGCAAAGCATGTATTTAAGGATTAGGCTAATGTTTAAAGGTTTTCGAGAAGGCTACAACCCTGAAATATTATCTGATTAGAAAATAAAGTTGGTGGTTCTGCAGTTAGCCTTTGGCTTTATTTCAGTATTGGTTAGTGTTCTAATGCTTGCTGAGTTTGAAAACTTACGTGAAAGTACATCCCTTATTGATCAGTAAATTTATTTGTATGTTATTGTTGCAGCTGTTAAATGAGAAATTTAATTTTCTCTCCTTAATTCAGTTTGGCTTTCTGACATGTTGCTCTTCTCTCCTTGAAGCAAGTGCTGTTTGCCCATTTTCCTTACTCCAGTGCCTGTCACATAAAAGGGCTTAGTACATATTTCCTGAAGTAATGACTTATCAGATGCATGGTCAGTGCCCCTAAATCTTGCTTCTCAGTGTTAGTTTGGAGCCTGAGAAAGAATGGCAGCTTTGGAAAAGTAAATTTAAAAGTCAGAAATCATTAAAATGCACAAAAATATCCCAAAGTAAGGTTTTCATGTGATTCTACCACAGGGCTTATTGATCTTTTCTCATATTTAGGCTTTGTTTCTAGGTGCCCAATAGAAGCTACCAAAACTTTAATAGTTGCTAACTCCCACTTTTTCATTATACTCTTGCTAAGTTGAAAAGTCCTCTCCTCTTAGAAACAGAAATGACTGTGCTATATATTGGAATTTCCAAAAGCCACCAGACACCAATGATACACCACAGATGGGTGTCCCTGAGAGTAGAATTAGAACTACTCCCCTCAATGTGGCTGCTGTGTCATCACTAGTGTACTGCAACCCCTGCCAAGGCAGGACAGGGGGACGATGAATGCCAGCTGGATTCCAGTCCACTCCCCAGACTGAATGATAAGGCTCTACCACCGGGAATGGATCATGTCTGTTCAAAGCCACAATGGACAGTGTCCTCTTCTGTCATTGCAGCTACACCATCCAAACTCCCCAGATCCCTAAGGAAACTCAGAAGAACATGAGCAGAACATCACAACAATGGGTGCACACAACTCTGATAAAACATGTACATTTAAGGGTCTCTATTCTCTCTAATAGGTTAATTCAGGTGACATGATAACAAAACTGCCATCTACAGTTTGGGACAGGTAGGGATGAAAGAGGATAGTGGAATGGGATCTTTTCAAATTTATCCAGTGGGGTAAATGGAGGATCATTTGTTTCACGGTAGCAACATGAAGTAACTATAGAAGATTATTTTCAGAGAAAAACAAAACAAAACAAAAGCCACTACTAGTCTGCCTATTATGCCTGAAATGTCATTGTCTATCTATATACTTGCAAAGGCTATTATCTGCTGAATTTAAGCAGTAAAAACATCAGAAAAACTAAATAATGGTCTATGTATTGGAAATATTTGTAACAGTTTCTTACATTCATAACATTAGAGCACAAACATATTCCCCTCTCCTTTTCTTTTTCTCTTTTGAATTTTCAGTAGAAGGGAACGACAATAATAGGTATAACTTTTATTGGATTATACTTTAATTTAGATCACTGAATTATGTATACCTATAGCACCCAAAATGCTACTAAAGTCAAGACTCTACATTTAAATAATAAATAAGTAATCCGGTTTTACTCACATCCATCTTCCATGATGGTCCAACTAGACACTCCCCATTGTGACTGTTGATGGAAAATTCTTCCATGTTTGGAGAAACCACAGTTACTGATTAGTTTTAGCTGTAAGAGCTCTTTCCTCCTTCTCATCAAGCCTAGGCAAGGTTCCACAAACAATATTTTTTCCCGTTTGTCTCCACTCAGAAGTTCTTAATCTCTTCAGGGAACAGGGAAAATGCAGGAGTCCCCTTTGTACATCACTTGAAATAAATAAAAAAATTATCCAAAACTCATATCATTACAGGAGTGACTGTTACAAAGAGAAAGAAGCAAATTATGGTGACTAGAAATGACAAGAGCTTGGATTTTTCTTATTTTTCAGCATGAAATTCTGAGCTTACAACCTGCAAAATCCTATTATAAAAGTAAGATAACTGCCATATAAAAACTGAAAATCATGCAAATATTTATGTGTGATCCCACTAGTTCACTCCATAATTTTTTGGAGTGTAAAAAACATTTATGATTTTAAAAATCACATCCAATAAAAAAAAAACAGAGTCATAAAATAAAAGAAGAGGAACACAGGCTCTGCACTGCACTGAAACATTTTGAAATATAAAATGAACAACCAATGCTTTACAGCAAAAATATGATCTCATCAACAAGGTAGGAAAATGAGCAATTGCCTTTTAAAAGGCCATAGGTTACTAGCACAGTGGTTGTGAGAATAGATGTTTGAGCCTAACCGTTTGGTTTAAAAATCTGACTTTTCCACAGAGTTCTTAATGTAATATTGGTCAGGTTGCTTCATTTTCCTTATCTGTTAAATGGTGATACTCATGGTACCTACTTTATCTTGTTATTATGACACTTTGAGGAGTTAATAATGGGAAGTACATAGAAAAGAGCATAGAATAATGGTGTTTGGTAAGATTAAGTTATTGTTACTATTCTTCAATTTCTAATATTTCAAAAGAAATACAGACCTGCACTGAAGAATAATTGACTTCCTCATGCTTCAAAGCTTCATTAAATAATAACAAATAGTTGATTCCTTTTTCAGTTGGGAAAGCAAATTCAGTCAGTCTCTTAGAATATTACTATAAATTGTTTCTGAATTAAAACTCATCCCAAACAAATGAGGAGATACTTTTCTGTGATTTATGCTATAGTTTGGAAAAAGGATACTGTTGTGCCAGGAGTTGAAAACTGTACTGAGAAAGTCTATTCATGCTGACTGCAAATATTACCAGTGGGAGGAAAATCGAGTGTGTCCAATTTCATCACTGATAAATCTAGAATGATAACAGATCTGCGTTGAGGGCAAGGTCTAGGAATGCTCTTCTTATACACAGAATGTTTTTGCTTAATTTCATGCTCTACAGTTTAAAGGTCATTTCTTATAAAATTATAATAACTGATGAGGCAGCCAGTGTCCCGCCCTAGAGATTTCTATCTTATTTTATAAGATAAAACTAAGGTTTCCTTTCAAGTTAAATAAGGATTATAATCTTCTTTGTGCAAGGGGAAAAAAAAGAGTATTCTTACTAGATCACCTTGGTAAGATTTGTGATTGTTTATCCTACAAAATATTTAAGTTTTGAAATTATTTCCTTTTTCCTCCAGGAGAGTATAAAGTTTTCCCTTGTGATTATTTGTTTTTCTTCAAAGCATATTAGCCCATATTTATCACAGCCATGGTCTCCATGTCAACGAGAGAAGATGCCATGTATCTCTTAATTTAGCAGCACTTTTTGTTCGGGTTTCCAGATAAAGCACAATACAAGTTTTAAATATAAAGAGAACAGGCTGTTTCTCACAAAGCACACTGGTGTTCATAGGATGCGAAACTGGGCCCCCGTGGTGTTTGATAAGAAAGGAGTTCCTAGCATAAAGATATTTTTAGCACATCTAATAAAACATCAGTTCCATCTGCATTTCCTTAACATGTTGTGCTAAATTCTCCCTCCAACATTCCAGGATTAGTTTGTTACCCAAAGTGACAGGGAAAAGTCACTTTAGATTTTTCTGTCACCATAGGAAAAAATGAAAAGCTGTTATTATATTAACATATGTTTCTCTTTCTTTATCAAATACACAACAGCATTTGGGTCTCTACTAAAAATTATCATACACTTTAAATGATGAACTGAGCCTCTTGAACCTTTTTATTTATTTTGGGACTATAACATCAATATGTTTAAATCAAATATTTATTTCTGTGTCTGTTTCAGACATGACTCCTAATAACTGAAAAAATAGAAGTTTATGTTTACTTCTCTACATCTCTTTCCCTAAACAATTAACTAACAATTAGCTGTTGACTTCTTCATTCACTGAGATCTTAGTTAAAAGAGTATATATGTGTGTGTGTGTGTGTATGTATGTATGTATACACGTACACACATATATATACTATTATATACTATATATAATAGTGTATATATATATACACACACATACATGCACAGAGAGAGAACAATAAAACATAATGAAAAGTGATATTTCAAAAGATCTGTTAAGTGAAATCTTAGTCAAAATATAAGCTAGTTGCCAATATATAGAAAGGTTTATTATGCTATAATTGGTTTTGTACATGATTTGTAATATCTCTCCCTCTTCCATGCATGTAATTTTGATTTAATACCAGGTTGATAATTACCTGGCCAAAATTAGATTTCTTATTCATGTAAAGGTAGATATCAAATTTACATATCAGTAATGCAAATGGGAAAAAATTATTTGGGGTAATTTATTTTGATTGGAACTATTTGTATCACTGCTCAATAAATCTATTATTTGATTTTATTTCTAAGGCATTATTAAAGAGATTTGTCAGAAAAAATACATTTATATATGTGTTTATATATGTATACACATATACACATATAATAAAATAGAAGTTGGAGATATATATGCATGTGTATATGATTGTTTGTGTGGTGGTACATAGGACTACATTACAGAATGTTTTTCTAAAGTTAGGAATTTAAAGGGTGAATATCATACTAGGCCACATCTTTTGAGCTGTAAAAAAAAAATCACTAAATTTTACAGATTTGAGGTTTTAAGCTTAAAATTTTAGTTGCATTTTTAAAAACTTGAAAGCAGTTGACAAACTGGTTTCAAAAAGAAGAATTAATATTGCAAACATGAAATTACTCATAAAGCTAAATCTAGACAAGATAGAAATAAATTTTTGAACATTTAAAATCCAAGTTTATTTTTAAAGCACATATGTTTTACATTAGAAGGTGTAGCCGTACCAATCATCTCTTCCTCTAAAATATTCAGAGTACATTTTTAGAACATTGTAGCAACACTTAAATGCCAGTGGTTCATTATTTTAAAAGTGTTGCCCCTTTTAACAAATGCATGATTAATATTGAAGTATAGCTTTTATTCTCTTTTTAAGGCTTCAGACATAAAGTCTATTTTATGGTTTATAAACTAATGGGAGACATAGTGACTTCTTTCATTGCTAGGAAGATTTTAAATGTTCTTTTTGGGAGGCATAGGGATTAATTTTTTTTTTCCTGCTTGAGAAATGTTACCTTCTGAGAAAAAAGCAAGGCACTTTTTCTACTGTTGTGATTCCTTAAAATAGTTTTCTTCCCTTTTGTTTTGTTTATAATACCCTTCCCAACTCCCTTGGTCATCTGAGCATGGCTGATCACTTCACGTCTCTTTTTTTGATTCATGAATACAGAATTCTAACTTTATATTAAAATGAAGAACATATTTAGTTCTCAAGAATAAGCTCATCCTGGGAATATATTGCATGTTGGCAGATGTATTAAACCAGAAAAAGAACATAGGAGGGATGTGGCCCTCCTTGTGAGCAACACTCTCATGGTTGAGTCCTTACCGAGGGTTAGGAAAACATCCTGGTATATACATTTGAAGCTTATTGGTTTCCTGAGCTAAGATTAGGGATTAGGACAAGAGGTGTGGCTGGAATCTCTTCCTGAAGATTGTGATTCTGGGACTCGGAGGAGTCAAGACCAAGGTTCCCACAGCAGAGCCAGAAAAATAAATAAATAATTAGGCCTACACCTCTGACATTTGACCACCCCCTTGGGTATTGTGTCTTGGTCCTAATATATTTTGTTTTCCTAGTTTAGGCTGGAACTGTGTAGAGCATTGAGCAAATACTTTGTTCTTACCAAATACATATATATTTTTGGACTGTACAAATACTAAATAAGAATAACCATATACTTTTTTTTTGAGATGGAATTTCACTCTTGTTGCCCAGGCTGGAGTGCAATGGTACAATCTCGGCTCATCGCAACCTCCACCTCCCGAGTTCAAGCAATTCTCCTGCCTCAGCCTCCCGAGTAAGTGGGATTACAGGCATGCGCCACTATGCCTAGCTAATTTTGTATTTTTAGCAGAGACAGAGTTTCTCCGTGTTGGTCAGGCTGGTCTCAAACTCCCGACCTCAGGGCATCCACCTGCCTCGGCTTCCCAAGGTGCTGGGATTACAGGAGTGAGCCACCGCGCCTGGCATGTAGTCCACCAAGGAGGTGTTGAGCCTCTCTCTTGCTAGACAACCTATCAGGCAATATTTTCTTATAAATTACTTCAATAATGATTACTCTTGAATCATTAACTTTGTACATTTTTTCCAGATGAGGATTTGTGCTAAAGCTTCATTTAACTATTTTGGGGAGCTTGTTACCACAAAAGAGTCAGGACAGGCTCAAAATCAGCCAGAAGTTTACCTATTCAATTCAACAAAACAAAACAGGTACCTATGATATGCTAGGCTGGATAGCAGCTGCTGGAAGGTTTAGAAATGTATTGCCGTCTCTTATTTCTTTCTGTCTTGGATTTCGACTTATTTCAAAAATAAAAATAGCCACACTGTTGAAGACAATATGACGGAGACTTTGGAATCAGACAGATCTGTCCCAAGTCTGTGACTACCAGTCATGCAACCTCAGACCATCATCCAGTCAGAGCCTGGGCTCCTGTAAATGAGTGTGGTCACCACTCACTCACATGCTGCAGGGTTGGACACATGCCAACATACAGTAGGGGACATGGGCTAAACATCCGAAAAATGGAAAATGCTCTTATTCTCAAGGCCAGGCCAATGTCTACATTCCAAAATAGTAGCATTTTAACCTATCTATACATTTTGAATTGTGAAAGAATTCATTGCTTCTTAAAAATATAGTTGACATTCTAAGCAGAGCTGAGTGTTGACTAAAATAAACTGGGCTAGTAGTTATCATAGAAATGTTGATAAGATTACCTGGTATTCATTATACTTAAAAGCAAGACTGGTCCTAGGTAGAAGTGACAAGCTACTTCAGTCTGTTTTTCCCACCTTCGTACCTCCCATTCATCTTCCTTTCATAATTCACACACTAACTGCCCAGAAGCTTCTTTCTCTGCCTTGACATTGTTAGGTGGCCTATTTCAGTAAAAAGCAGTCTCTCTGAAGTGTTGGCTGGTACTATTTAAAACTCTGTTAGCTCACTTGATGCTCTGCATTTTAATAGGGGTCTCTTGAACACACAGGAGTTTTATGTATTTTTGTTTTTTTCTGGTTTTTTTTTGTTTTGTTTTTTTGTTTTTTTTGTTTTTTTTTGAGACGGAGTCTCACTCTGTCACCCAGGCTGGAGTGCAGTGGTGCAGTCTCGGCTCACTGCGACCTCTGCCTCCTGGGTTCAAGCGATTCTCCTGCCTTAGCCTCCCAAGTAGCTGGGATTACAGGCATCTGCCACCATGCCTGGCTAATTTTGTATTTCGGGTAGAGACGGGGTTTCACCATGTTGGCCAGGCTGGTCTTGAACTCCTGAACTCAGGTGATCTGCCCACCTTGGCCCCCCAAAGTGCTGGGATTACAAGCGTGAGCCAACACACCCAGGCACACAGGAGTTTTAAACCCAGGAGAATTGTGCTGTCATGTTAGGCAGACTGTCTTCTCTGTAGCTACTCTCTCTCTCTCAGAAAGCTCATCGATTCTTATGACATTAACTTTCATTTTTATTTTTATTATCCTTAAAAATATAGGTCAAAGCTATCTGTCTCTTTCTCCCAAGTTTTGGTACTGCAATTTCTTAATGGACATTTCAGTTCAACAGATATTTGTGAGGCATCTCTTATTACATGTGAGACGAGGATCAATACTTTACATGTATTTAAAATAGACACCAAGTTTATGTACCTGTGAAGAAATATTTTTGTTCTCTTTTCCATAATCAATTTGTACTATGATTTGTCACCAAGTCCTATCAATTCTTCTTTTAAAGAATTGCCATCACCTTACACTTAGAAGATACATTAACTAGTTATCTTAAAAACAAGGATTATAAGTCATTCTACTATAAAGACACATGCACACACACATCTTTATTGCAGCACTATTCACTATAGCAAAGACATGGAACCAACCCAAATGCTCATCAATGATAGACTGGATAAACAAAATGTGGCACATATACACCATGGAATACTATGCAGCCATAAAAAAGAATGACTTCATGTCTTTTGCAGGGACGTGGATGAAGCTGGAAACCATCACTCTCAGCAAACTAACACAGGAGCAGAAAACCAAACACCACATGTTCTCACTCATAAGTGGTAGTTGAACAATAAGAACCCTTGGACGCAGGGACGGGAACATCACACACTGGGGCCTGTAGGGAGTGGGGAGCAAGGGGAGGGAGAGTATTAGGACAAATACCTAATGCATGAGCGGCTTAAAACCTAGATGATGGGTTGATAGGTGCAGCAAACCACCATGGCACATGTGTCCCAGAACTTAAAGTATAATAAATAAAAACAAACAAAAATACAAGAATCTTCCAGCTCCCATGTGATCCCTATGGCAAGTGCAAACTGATTCCCTTCCCTTCACCTCCTCACTTCACCTCAGTAGCACTGAGCTCTGCCACTATATAGCTCTGTGACTTTGAACAATGCATCGGTTTATTTATCCACAAAATATAACGAACAATACCTGCCCTGCCTTTCTTGCAGGATTATTGTAATGATCAGTCAAAATGGTGCGTTGGAAATCATTTTACATAGTAAATATTTATATCACACTGTTAGGAATAGTATTCTTGTTTTCTACCTCATCTTGACGTGAATGAGACATAGTTCAAATCTTGAATCCTCCACGTATTAGTCATGTGAACATTAGGTTACTTATTTAGACTCTCAGAACCACTACATTCTCATTTGTGAAATGGAGACATGAACCTCCATGCAGCCTGATGTAAGGACTAGATGGAGAAAACGTTGATAGAAGTACCAAAGACTGTGCCTACTGCCAACTTGCATGCCATAATGTTAGTTTTTTCTTTGTGTTCTAATTGGTTCAATGTTTTTTGTCTTTACCAGTCTTTCTTAATCTTACCTGTAGGATTTTATTTCTATTTTTTTGGACAAACTTTGTATTTTCTAGGGAGATTGATGAGTGAGTGCATTTTCTGTGGCTGCTATAACAAATTACCACAAACTTAATGGCTTAAAACAATGCAAATGTATTTTCTTACAGTTTTGAAAGTCAGAAGTTCAAAATCAGTCTCACTGGGCTAACATCAAGGTGTCTGTTTCTTCTGGAGGCTCAGGGGAAACCCATTTCCTTGCCTTTTCTAGCTTCTAGGGGCTGCCTGCATTCCTCAGCTAGTGGCCCCTTCCTCACCATACTCCAATCTTAAGCTTTTGTCATCACATCTACTACTCACTCTGATCTCCTGTTCCCTTTTAAAGGATTCTTGTGATTACATTATTAGGATCATCTGGATAACCCAGGCTACTTTACCCATCTCATGATCCTTAAGCACATCTATAAAGTCTATTTTGCTATATAAGGTAAAATTCACAGGTTGTGGAATTAGGATATGGGCATCTTTTGGGTTCAGTATACCACAGTCAGTTGCCTGAAATTCCCACAGACTTCTTATGGTCATGGTTACCTTTTACCCTTTACCAATTTACATTCTCCTTCCTCAAATTTTTCCTTTTTTATTTGGTCTAAATTCTACTCAATCACTTTGAGGCATACCATTAAGTCTGTAGATCTCCATCTGTTGAAGTTGGAGTATAGATCAATGCTTAGTTATGCACTTTTTTCCCAATGTTTACTATTTCTTACTAAATTTCAGCTTCTCTCATTCAGGAACATATCTTTTTGTTTATTTTTAAGTTACACAATATACTTTCATTTATACATTCATTCACCAACGTGTTCTCAAGCATCTGCTAAAAGCCAAGCCTTATATTCAGTGCAGGAGATACAAAGCTGAGTGAGCATAGCACAGTCCTCATCTTTTGAGAACTCATCAAGTGGTGGAAGTGTGGTAGAGACAGTAAAGCTCATATTCCCTCAAATTTCCCAGCTTCCTTACCAGTAGGGAGGCTAATATGATATGATATGGTCATGAAATGTGGGCAATATTGATATTGTGCCTTCTCTGGGATGAAGCAGTGAAACACTTACATGTAGTTCTTTGGTTGCTCTTTGCCACTGGGAGCAGCTACAAGATGATGGAACTTCCAACAGCCTGAGGTTCTGAGAGACCACGTGCAACAAAGCCTCTTGCAAATTCATGTGGGACATGGAAACGTGAAAGAAGAAAAGCTTTGTTGTGGCAAGTCACATGAAATTTAGGAGTTATTTATTACCCCCTAGTCAATCCTACCCAATACCGAAAAGGAAATCTGTGATCCTGTATCATAGGCATAGCATGATAGCATATACTAATATTTGGAGGTAGAAAACTGTTCCAAATGAGAACAGAGGGAGTACTTGAGTTGATTCTTAAAGGACAACAAGAAGGTTTGAGATGGATGAGGTGTGAGAACAAGCATTTTCCCAAAGAGCAAATAGCACATACAAAGACTTGGAAGCCTAGACAGAATTCAGATGGCAGGGAAAGGGTATAATTTCTGTGGGGGTAGGGGGGAGACTGAGGCCAGAGCTAGAGGTGAGAGGGCATTGGATGCCATTCTAAGACATTTTATTTTCATTCTGTAAGCTAGAGTTTCTTAAAAATTTTTTTAAAAATTTGTTCATTTATTTCTGTTTAAAATAGTAATACAACTATATTATGTAAAGTTAGAAAGACATAGGAAAGCAAATGAAGAAAATAAAATCATCACTAATACTATCACATTGAGAAATAACTGTTAATGCTGCTTTCATATTTTCTTCTAGATATTGCTCTGTGCATGTACAGATTTGATTGTGTCTCCTTAAAATTGGGATTATGTTGTATGAGAATTATTTTGTCTGTTTAACCTTTCCAATTAAAAGTCTTCAAAAAGAATTCTCAGTTTGGGCGGATAAAATTTCAGTGACTAAAAGATAACTCATAATTCATTTAGCTATTTGGCATTTAGGAAATATCCATTGTTATGGAGATTATCCATCTAAGCAGACTTTAAAATAATCAGTTTAATTGTGGAATAATGTATATAGAAGAAATGTTATCTATTTTAAGTGTAAATTTGAGGGGTTTTGACAAATGTGCTGTCATGTAACTACCACCATCATCCAGATTAGAGCATTTCTATCGCCACAAAAAAGTGTCCTTGTATCCCTCTGCAGTCAATTCCTTTTAGCCCTTCCCAGCCTCTGGAAAACCCTGACATGCATTCAGTCAGCAGAGCACTTATTGGCTTCAATTTCAGATAAATGAATTCGTGTCTGGGCTTTTTCACTTGGCATAATATTTTGGAAATTCATCCTTGTTGTTTATCTATTAATTATTTGAAGAAAGGTCAACTTGCCTCTAGTTTTTGGCTAATAAATATGTTATGAACATTCAGGTACAAGTTTTTGTGTGGCTGTATCTTTACATTTATCTTGTGTACCTAGGCAGGTTGATTCCTCAGTGTTTTAAGTGTAGCTATAACTCCATAAGAAACAACCAGACTGTTCCCACCAACAGTGTGTGAGACTTCCTCATGTTTTATAACCTCACCAAATCTTGTTATTCATGATCTTTTTAATTTTGACGATTTTTGATTATGTTGTTTCTTCTCATTGACGTGTTAAAGGTTTTTATATATTAGATACAAATACTTTATTATGTATATGTTTGTACATAATTATTTTATATATGTTTACAATTATTTTATATTTTTAATATATTTAATTTATATTTATAATTTTTTATATATGTGCTTACATATATATAATATACATATATAAAAATTATTTTATATATATATTTTATATATTACTAAATCCAAGAACAAGGAGTGCTGATGTCCCATATAATTATATATAAACATATACATAATAAAGCACTACAGAATTCTTGTTACATATATAGAACAATATATTTATATAAACATATATATATATTGCTCTGTGCATGTGCAGATTTGATTGTTTTTCCTTAAAATTGGGGTTATGTTGTATGAGAATTACTTAACTGCTTAGGAAAACCATTAACAAGCATAAATTCTAACTATTTGTCACCTAAAGCATACAACTTACATCACCTATTTGAGAAGCAACTCATTGTCAAGTAAAATGTCATGAGTTAATGTGATTTCTATTTCATGACTTGCATGTGATCCACTATCTGCTGTCTCTTCCCAATGCAAATTAATTTTCATGGCATATCTTCCCCATTTTGCAAATTTGTGGGCCTCTTGTACCTTCCTCTATTACAAGTGTTCTGGGGAATGAATGCCTAACTCATGACATGCTTAATATGACACATATACATTTAATTTTGTAAGTGCCATGTAATACATACTTTTTAATTTGATTAAACTCTGCCAAGCCATTTTTGTATACTGGAGTGATAGATAACTACAAAGACAAAAAGCACTATTTTATTCACATAAATCTTCTTTTCTTCCTGTTTCCAAACTTGTTGATAATTATCTTCCCCTACTTTGCCTTACTATCCCTTTTTTCTTTTGTGACTTCTTGCATTAAATACTTATTAACTTCTTTTCAGTTTTAATCATGAAAATATATAAAATTATACATTTAATTAGTTTTTAGTTTTATTTTGCATTGTGGTGAAAGAAGACATCATATTTTCTTGTTCGTGATGTTAAAGTAGCAGTTTCTCACTGCAACAACCAATGTGCAAAATAACCAGCTAGCATCATGATGACAGGATCAAATTCACACGTAACAATATCAACCTTAAATGTAAACAGGCTAAATGCCTCAATTAAAAGATGCAGAATGGCAAATTGGATAAAGTCAAGACCCATCAGTGTGCTGTATTCAGGAGACCCATATCACGTGCAAAGACACAAAAAGGCTCAAAATAAAGGGATGGAGGAATATTTACCAAGCAAATGAAAAGCAAAAAAAAAAAAAAAAAAAAAAAAAAAAGCAGGGGTTGCAATCCTACTCTTTGATAAAACAGACTTTAAAGCAACAAAGATCAAAAAAGACAATGTAGGAGATTATGTAATGGTAAAGGCATCAATGAAACGAGAAGAGCTAAGTATCCTAAATATATATGCAATCAATACAGGAGCACCCAGATTCATAAAACAAGTTCTTAGAGACCTATAAAGAGACTTCGACCCCCACACAATAATAGTGGGAGACTTTAATACCCCACTGTCAATATTAGACCAAGCAGACAGAAAATTAACAAGGACATTCAGGACTTGAACTCAGCTCTGGACCAAGCAGACCCGATAGACATCTACAGAACTCTCCACCCCAAAACAACACAATATTTATTATTCTCAGCACCACATAGCACTTATTCTAAAATTGACCACATAATTCGATGTAAAACACTTCCGAGCAAATGCAAAAGAACGGAAATCATAACAGTCTCTCAGACCACAGTGAAATCAAATTAGAACTTAGGATTAAGAAACTCACTCAAAACTGCACAAATACATGGAAACTGAACAACCTGCTCCTGAATGACTGCTGGGTAAATAATGATATAAGACAGACAGAAATAAGTTATTTGAAAACGAATGAGAACAAGGAGAAAATGTACCAGAATCTCTGGGACACAGTTAAAGCAATGTTAAGTGGGAAATTTATAGCACTAGGTGTTCACATCACAAAGTGGGAAAGATCTGAAATTGACACCCTAACATCACAATTGAAATAGAGAAGCAAGAGCAAACAAATTCAAAAGCTAGCAGAAGACAAGAAATAACTAAGATCAGAGCAGAACTGAAGGAGATAGAGACATGAAAAATGCTTCAAAAGTTCAGTGAATCCAGGAGCTGGTTTTTTGAAAAGATTAACAAAATAGATAAACTGCTAGCTAGAGTAATAAGAAGAGAGAGAAGAATCAAAAAGACACAAAAAATGATAAATGATAAAGGGGAGATTACCACTGATCCCAGAGAAATACAAATTGCCATCAAAGAATAATATAAACACCTCTATGCAAATCAACTGGAAAATCTAGAAGAAATGGATACATTCCTGGACACATACACCCTTCCAAGACTAAACCAGGAAGAAGTCGAATACCCGAATAGACCAATAACAAGGTCTGAAATTGAGGCAGTAATCAACAGCCTACCAACCAAAAAAATGCCCAGGACCAGACAATTCATACCTGAACAACGAGGAGCTGCTACCATTCCTTCTGAAACTATTCCAAACAATAGAAAAAGAGGGACTCCTCCCTAACTCATTTTATGAGGCCATAATCAACCTGATTCCAAAACCTGGCAGAGACACAACAAAAAAGAAAATTTCAGTCCAATATCCCTTAAGAACATCGATGTGAAAATCCTCAATAAAATACTGGCAAACTGAACTTTTTGAAGCAGCACATCAAAAAGTTTATCCACCATGGTCAATTCAGTTTCATCCCTGGAATGCAGGGCTCATTCTACATACACAAATCAATAAATGTAATCCATCACATAAACAGAACCAATGACAAAAACTACATGATTATCTCAGTAGATGCAGAAAAATTCAACACCCCTTCATGCTAAAAACTCTCAATAAACTAGGTATTGATGGAACATATCTCAAAATAATAAGAGCTATTTATGACAAACCCATAGCCAATATCACTGAATGGGCAAAAGCTGGAAGCATTCCCTTTGAAAACCAGCAGAAGACAAGGATGCCCTTTCTCACCACTCCTATTCAACATTGTATTAGAAGTTCTGGCCAGGGCAATCAGGCAAGAGAAAGAAATAAAGGGTATTCAAACAGGAAGAGAGGAAGTCAAATTGTCTCTGTTTGCAAATGACATAATTGTATATTTAGAAAACACCATTATCTCAGCCCCAAAACTCCTTAAGCTGATAAGCAACTTCAGCAAAATCTCAGGATACAAAATAATGTGCAAAAATCACAAGCATTCCTAGACACCAATAATAGACAAGCAGAGATCCAAATTATGAATGAACTCCCATTCACAATTGCTACAAAAAGAATAAAATACCTAGGAATACAACTTACAAGGGATGTGAAGGACCTATTTAAGGAGAACTACAAACCACTGCTCAAGGAAATAAGAGAGGACACAAACAAATGGAAAAACATTTCATACTCATGGATAGGAAGAATCAATATCATCAAAATGGCCATATTGCCCAAAGTAATTCATAGATTCAATGCTATTCCCATCAAGCTATCATTGACTTTCTTCATAGAATTAGAAAAAACTTTCAATTTTATGTGGAATCAAAAAAGAGCCCATATAGCAAATACAATCCTAAGCAAAAAGAATGAAGCTGGAGTCATCCTGCTACCTGACTTCAAACTATACTACAAGGCTACAGTAACCAAAACAGCATGGTACTGGCACCAAAACAGATATATAGACCAATGGAACAAAACGGAGGCCTCACAAATAACACCACATGTCTACAACCATCTGATGTTTGACAAAACTGATAAAAACAAGCAATGAGAAAAGGATTCCTTATCTAATAAATGGTGCTGTGAAAACTGGCTAGCCGTATGCAGAAAACAGAAACTGGCCCCCTTCCTTACACCTTATGCAAAAATTAACTCAAGATAGATTAAAGACTAAAACGTAAAACCTAAAACCATAAAAATGCTAGAAGAAAACCTAGGCAATACCATTCAGGAATAGGCATGGGCAAAGACTTCATGACTAAGACACCAAAAGCAATGGCAACAAAAGCCAAAATTGACAAATGGGATCTAATTAAACTAAAGAGCTTCTGCACAGCAAAATAAACTATCATCATAGAGAACAGGCAACCTACAGAATGGGAGAAAATTTTTGCAATCTACCCATCTGACAAAGGGCTAACATGCAGAATCTACAAGGAACTTAAGCAAATTTACAAGAAGAAAACAAACAACTCCATCAAAAAGTGGGTGAAACATATGAACAGACACTTCTCAAACAAGACATTTATGTGGCCAACAAACACGTGAAAAAAAGCTCATCATCACTGGTCATTAGAGAAATGCAAATCAAAACCACAATGAGATACCATCTCATGCCAGTTAGAATGGCGATCATTATAAAGTCAGGAAACAACAGATGCTGGCGAGGATGTGGAGAAATAGGAATGCTTTTACATTGTTGCTGGGAGTGTAAATTAGTTCAACCATTGTGGAAGACAGTGTGGCGATTCCTCAAGGATCTAGAACCAGAAATACCATTTGACCCAGCAATCCCATTACTGATTATATACCCAAAGGATTATAAATCATTCTACTATGAAGACACATGCACACATATGTTTATTGCAGTACTATTTACAATAGCAAAGATTTGGAACCAACCCTAATGCCTATCAATGATAGACTGGATGAAGAAAATGTGGAACATATACACCATGGAATACTATGTAGCCATAAAAAGTAATGAGTTCATGTCTTTTGCAGGGACATGGATGAAGCTGGAAACCATCATTCTCAGCAAACTAACACAGGAATAGAAAACCAAAAACTGCATGTTCTCACTCATAAGTGGGAGTTGAACAATGAGAACACATGGACACAGGGAGGGGAACATCACACACTGGGGCCTGTTGAGGGGTGGAGTGCTAGGGGAGGGCGAGCATTAGGACAAATACCTAATGCATGCGGGGCTTAAAATCCAGATGATTGGTTGATAGGTGCAGCAACCACCATGGCACATGTGTACCTATGTAACAAACCTGCACCTTCTCCACATGTATCCCAGAACTTAAAGTAATATAAAAAATTTTAAAAAGAAGCAGTTCCTTGATGGTTTTATTGTGAACTTAATAAATATAATGTTTGACCATATTCAAATGATACTCAAAAAACAGTGAATTCTAAATATTTGTAAGACCCAATTTTCCACATAGGTATGTCTATTAATCAGAGTTCTCAAGAAAAACAGAATCATTAGAATACATATAAATATATGTAGAAGAGATGACTTATTGTAAGAATTGGGTAATGTGGTTATGAAAGCTGGGAGGTCCCACAGACTTCTGTCTGTACGCTGTAGAACCAGGAAAGCCAATCATGTAATTCAGTCATATTCTGAAGGTCTGAGACTAGGGGGTGAGGAGAAGGGAGGCAATGGTGGTGTAAACCTGTACCAAGTCGAAGAACCAGTAGTGTTGATGTCATAGAGCAGGAGAAGATAAATGTCCCAGCTCAGACAGAGACTGTAAATTTGCCATTTCTCCACTGTTCGTTCTACTGAGGCCCTCAAAAGATTTAGTGGTGTCTGTGCATATTGGGGAGGGTCATTTGTTTTACTGAGTTCACCAATTCAAATGCAGCTTCCTTTCATCATTCACACACTTACTGCCCAAAAGCTTCTTTCTCTGCCTTGACATTGTTAGGTGGCCTATTTCAGTAAAAAGCAAAGTCTCTCTGAGGTGTTGGCTGGTACTGTTTAAACCCCTGTTAGCTCATTAGATGCTCTGCATTTTAATAGGGGTCTCTGGAACACACAGGAGTTTTATGGGATTTTTTGTTTTGTTTTGTTTTGTTTTGAGATGGGGTCTCACTCTATCACCCAGGCTGGAGTGCAGTGGTGCAATCTCGGCTCACTGCAACCTCTGCCTCCCGGGTTTAAGCGATTATCCTGCCTCAGCCTCCCAATTAGTTAGGATTACAGGCACCTGCCACCGTGCCTAGCTAATTTTGCATTTTGGGTAGAGACGGGGTTTCACCATGTTGGCCAGCCTGGTCTTGAACTCCTGAACTCAGGTGATCCACCCACCTTGGCCTCCCAAAGTGCTGGGATTACAGGCATGAAGCCACCATGCCTGGCCCACATAGGAGTTTTAAACTCAGGAGAATTGTGCTATCTTGTGAGGCAGACTGTCTTCTCTGAAGCTACTCTCTCTCTCTCAGAAGGCTTATCAATTCTTATGACATTAACTTGCATTTTTATTGTTATTATCCTTAAAAATATAGGTCAAAGCTGTCTGTCTCTTTCTCCCAACTTTTGGTCCTACAATTTCTTAATGGACGTTTCAGTTCAACAGATATTTGCGAGGCATCTCTTATTACATGTGAGACGAGGATCAATACTTCAAAAGTATTTAAAATAGACACCATGTTTATGTACCTGCCAAGAAATCTTTTTGTTCTCTTTTCCATAATCAATTTGTACTATGATTTGTCACCAAGTCCTATCAATTCTTCTTTTAAAGAATTGCCATCACCTTACACTTAGAAGATACATTAACTAGTTATCCTAAAAACAAGGATTATAAATCATTCTACTATAAAGACACATGCACACACACATCTTTACTGCAGCACTATTCACAATAGCAAAGACATGGAAACAACCCAAATGCCCATCAATGATAGACTGGATGAAGAAAATGTGGCACATATACACCAAGGAATACTATGCAGCCATAAAAAAGAATGAGTTTGTGTCTTTTGCAGGGACATGGATAAAGCTGGAAACCATCATTCTCAGCAAACTAACACAGGAGCAGAAAACCAAACACCACATGTTCTCACTCATAAGTGGGAGTTGAACAGTGAGAACATATGGACACAGGGAAGGGAACATCACACACTGGGGCCTGTAGGGGGTTGGGGGGCAAGGGGAGGGAGAGTATTAGGACAAATAGTTAATGCATGTGGGGCTTAAAATCTAGATGATGGGTTGATAGGTGCAGCAACCACCATGGCACATGTGTACCTATGTAACAAATCTGCACCTTCTCTACATGTATGCCCGAACTTAAAGTAATATAAAAAAAATTTAAAAAGAAGCAGTTTCTTGATGGTTTTATTGTGAACTTAATAAATATAATGTTTGACAATATCGAAATCATACTCAAAAAATGGTGAATTCTAAATATTTGGAAGATCCAAATTTTCCACATAGGTATGTATGTTAGAGTTCTCAAGAAAAACAGAATCATTAGAATACATATAAATATATGTAGAAGAGGCGACTTATTATAAGAATTGGGTAATGTGGTTATGAAAGCTGGGCGGTCTCACAGACTGCTGTCTGCAAGCTGTAGAACCAGGAAAGCCACTCATGTGATTCAGTCATATTCTGAAGGTCTGAGAATGGGTGGTGAGGAGAAGGGAGGCAATGGTGGTGTAAACCTGTACTAAGTCCAATAACCAGGAGTGCTGATGTCATACAGCAGGAGAAGATAAATGTCTTAGCTCAGACAGAGTAAATTTGCCCTTTCTCCACTTTTTGTTTTACTCAGGCCCTCAAAAGATTTAGTGATGCCTGCCCATATTGTGATTACCCTCACAGTTACAGCTGGAAATGCTGTTTTGCCAGCTATCTGGGCATCTCGTAGCACAGTCAAGTTGAAAACTAGCCATCGCATTATGTTTCTATTGATTAACAGAATTAAATATTAAATTAGAACATAAAAACTAAAGTAAGTACTAATTTAAATTCTCATTTTGTTATTCAAACACTCTATTCAATTTCTGTATTTTAATAAACTTTGATTGAAACTTAAAATATGTAGAAAAAAGTATGTAAATAGTACACATTTGAAGAGTGATCACAAATAGAACACAACAGTGTGAACTTTTCCAGGTCAATCAATTGCCACCTATGTCTTTTCTATCCACTTGACCTGGTGGACACTAAGCATTGTATGCAGCTATTGTTCCTAAATCATTGTTCGAAATGGAGATTCCCAGCTCCCGTCCAGGAGCTGCTAATCAGAATCTTGGTGGTGGGTCTGGGAGCATCTGGGAAATTCTGGAACGTCTTATCAAGTGATAGAATTTGGGAACAGATGTTTTTCTTCTTGAATTTTAACTGTTTTGAGTTGTCTTAATTATGCATTTTTTACTGAAGCTACAGTTCTTCAAATGATTTGTGGTACTGCTACTGCTCTCTCCTAGTTTGAGACTTATGTTTTGCTACCACTAGAATGCAAATGCATCACACTGTCTCCAAAGTTACCCTCCCAAAAGAGAGTTAAGTTCAATTAATTCCCTCCCTAAATATTGAATGCCAACTGGTGCCTTTAGATAAACCCTAAGTTCCTGAAGCTGTCATCCAAAGCATGTCATTATTTGGGCCCATTCTGCTTCCATGTATTCCTCCTTTCACCCCTTATTAACCTGTAATTTCTCAAATGCAGCTTCCTCAAACCCTCACTTATCACCACAGGGGCCCATCCTATTTCTGATCACCCTTCGCTCAACCACATAATAAAGTTTGTCATTTCTCGACAACAACTCCTTATCTCATTGCTTATGTTAGTCATTCCACCTGGAATGCCCCTTCCCTCTTTTCTTTGTGTATCTCAATTCCACCCATCCTTAAAAGTTTCCCATGCAATACCATCTTTTCCATTCCCCAGTAAGAAATATAATTACATGTGCATTTGATTTTCTGCTGTCAGAGATTGTGCAGCTTTGAACATTGCATCTGCCTTTTCCCACAGCTGGGACTACCTAATTGTCCCTTGCAGTCTCAACTCCATCCAAGCTTCTAAGACCTATCTTAGCCTTGTTGAGAAAGAATTTCAGAATCTGATCTACACTTGTGGAACTCAGGCACTCGTGTTGTAATCCAATATCAGTGTTTGACCCAGCACTGGAAACTAGGTTTTAGCCTTATTCTGGGAAACTTCATTTCTGTTTATGGAAATTAGACTTCAGACTTGTTAGTACTTCACAGGGTCCTATTTTCCATCTCTCCCTGTAGGATCACCCCTGCTGTTGTCAGGCTCATCTCCAACTAAAATGTCCTAGAGGCTCATGCCTAAATCCCACCACACAGGCTGGGACTCTCATTTGTAAATACCTCCCTATGGCTGATGATTGTCTTCCTGGTATTGACTTTTTGAGGACTGGATCCCTCAACTGTAGCCAATTGTTGCTAGTCCTGTAGCTTCACCCTGGGTTGCTTCTTTGGCTTAAAGCAATATCCCTCCAGAGCCATATTGAGCATGTGATATATTTTACAGCATCCTACATATTTTTATAACTTAAGGAAATGCAATTAATATAACATTAAATGGAAATTATGTGAAAGCTTAGTTTTTCTCTGATGAGTTAAAGCAGTGAGCTTTCTGAAGGCATGTATTTCATGACACAGTTCATGTCAGCAGTTTTTAAAAAGAATTCTGTCCTTATTTCACACATTTCTTTTCAAGAGAAAATGTTGAGTACATAAAGAGTTTACAAGAATAAAGCATTTAAAGTTTAATGACTTTTAAATAAATTTTTTATCCTAAAACATTACTAGTCATAAGCACACTTTCAGATTTATATTCTTTTTTTAAAAAAATCTATATTTAACATAGATGAGGCAGGGTATTAGAAAGTTCTACAAATATATTAGGGTTCTGTATTTTTCCATAAGCAGAATCCTTGAAAGAGCATGTGTTGGGTTATGGATTTTGTTTTTTTAAAATCTGGTCATATTAAATAAATTAGAAAGGCAAATTGAAGATAACACTGTAATATATTGCTAAGTTACCAATTATATGACCATTATTATTATACTATAACTGCAAAGAGATAATAGATGTGATTTTCTCCCTCCCTTTTTTAGTGCCTCACAAGCAAAATTATTCACAATAAAATAAACTTAATATATGCCATATAATAATTGGAACCTCTCCTACTCCAGCCCATCCCCAATTATTGTATATATGAAGTATATCCTTTTTTCACACACCTCCCACTAGAGGCAAAAGAAATGTTTTATAGGTAGTAAGCAAAAAGGAGATTTCTCTTCTTCTCCTTTTTTCCCCTCTCCTATTGTTTTATAGTCTCAGTAACCCAGGTGATGTAGTCAGCTCCATCTTCAACAGCACAGATGACCAATTAAGCCCTCAGGGGTGATCTGAGCAGCACCCCTTTCCTAGGAAAAGCTTTCTCATTGCCTACCATGTACCAGATTTCCACCATAAGAGATGGGTTCCTTTAGATAGTGTTATATTTCCAAGAATGACCTATAATAATTACATTTGCAAAATTTTATTGGTCAGAGTAGAACTTGAGGTCCCAAAATGTGTGTGAGAGAGAAACTTTACATAGGCAGAGAAATAGAACTGAAGCATTAAGGAAAAGATCTAGATAATATGCCATTGAGAAGGGGTACAGGCAGCCAGAAAGAACATACAGAGACTCAGTAGGACAAAAAAAAATCCCTTGTCTTCTTTCTTTTCCTTTCCTGCTTTTTTTCAGTCTGGCTGAATGTGTTGCCCTTGGGATCAACCAATCACTGCAGCACATTCACACTTTTCTTGGCCATGTAGTAGCAACTCCACTTCTACCCTGATAATTATCTTGCTTTACTCTTCTTCTTTAAACAAATGTCTAGAGAATACAAAGAAAGTCAATTTTATTAATTACGTTACATGGCTTGACATTTTAAATTGTACTTCATAAAAAGAAGTTGGAATTCACAGCTATTTGGGAAAAAAAAGCAGTAGAGAGGAGGAGAGATCCTTATCAAGCTCACATCAAGATATAACTTGTTTTAAAATTTATAAAAATAGAAAATTACAGTGTATGGCACATATCTTCATATCATTATAATAGCTGATCCTTTTCAGAATATGCTTTCTAAACTTTCATTTGTTTTTAAACACTTTTTAGTTTAAAGTATTATGTATTTAAAAATGTAAAAGTCATCTTGGCTTGTGGGCCATACACAAACAGGCAATGAATCACATATGGCCTGTGGTCTGTAGTTCGCTGACCTTTGTCTTACATAAATGAATTAGTTCAGTGTCTAGAACATCATGAGTAGTGACTTATATGATTACCATTATTCCTTAAGGAACTTACACTCAGTGGAGCAAATCTTAAAAGCTAATTCAGAGGTCGGATAAATTACATATGCAAAAATTATAAAAAGAATTTTTTAAAAATTAACAATGGAACCTCCCTCTTTTCCCTATTCCCTAAATACTATAAAGAAAAAAAATTTTTTGAATGAAGACTTTGATGAGGTCTGAGACAGAAACCCTCAACACTCTTAAGAAACAATGGATGGTATGCTTTTTAAGGTGGAAAGAAACATCTTACTTCTGATTTTCTTTATTTTTTTCACTTGAGGTTTGCAAGCTGAAAGTCAAAGCTGAATTGCTCAGGACAATAGAACAAAGCTGAGAGTCAAAGCTAAATTGCTTAGGACAATAAAAGAGATTATAGAGATTGTGTGTACTGGACAGATCAGTGCAGTTAAGGAGGACAGAAACTTGGTTAAAAATGGGCCTTGCAGAAAAAGCAAATACAGTTTAAAGGAAATTAATCATATATCACAGTGAAAAAAATTTTCGTTTTTCCACAAACTGTATTATTTGCTAGTATTTAGTTAAGCTGGGTCTCTTTTAGAATGAGCCTTAGGGAATGTGAGAAGAGTCTATTTACGGACTTTGGCTAAGCCAAAGCCAATCATGGAGGATGGACACCTGTCTGGGATTCATGCAGTTTAGTGAACTGATTGAGAGCACAGGTTAAGAGTCAAACAGAGCTGGTTTGATAGGTAAAAACCTCAGGTTTTTAAAATTAGCAGTGTAAGATGGGAAAACTACTTAACTTCTATCAGTGTTGACAGCTTTGTTTGTAAAATAAATAAAAATTATTGTTTTGCTTTAGGGATAAAGGAAATTGTGCCTTTAAAGCACTTAGAACAAAATATGGTAAAGAATACACGCCCTGGAAAGCCTAATTATTATTGTATGTCTTCATGAAG
This sequence comes from Homo sapiens, assembly GCF_000001405.40. NCBI lineage: Eukaryota > Metazoa > Chordata > Mammalia > Primates > Hominidae > Homo > Homo sapiens. The sequence continues at coordinate 78,011,428 of NC_000013.11, forward strand.
CCCACTTAAGCCATATTACCTGTGGGAACTGCAGATACTGGGCAAGCAACTCCTCTGGAGGCAAAGGCTAAGGACACGTGGAGGAATCAGAGGCAAGAAACCCAACATGGCATAAGCTATCAGTGACACTAACTCAAGAGCAGATGATGGGAGGCCTGTAGCCCCAGGGTCTGGGGAGTAGCTCCAAACAGCCCAATGGATGGAATACCAGATAAGAGGTCCTGCATTTAGACTTGGCTAACATTCCAGAAGTACTTTTGATGGCCCACAGCACTTGTCTATTGACATTTTGGGCCAGATACTCCTTTGAGGTAGTAGTTGTCCTACATACTAAAGAATATTTAGCAGCATCCCCGGCTTCTACCCAGAAATGTTTTATCATCAGCATAACCCAATGTCCCCTGGGAAGCAAAACATCCCTGGTCGAGAACCAGTGATATATGAGGACAGTTTTAATTCCCTCTGATGATCTACAGAAATAATGGCACAAGGTCAAGGGAGTGGACTTTGCGGAAAACAAGAGGTCCTCAGTGAGGAGACAAGCTGGTGAAACATGATTTACTTACATAAGGATACAAACACTAATGGCATGTACCCATTGGTGAAACATTTAGGGCTCCTTAAGGATGTGTGATTTCTGTTCTCAGTCATAAAATAGAATGGAATATTTTGAAGTACACGCTGGTAGGTGTTAGCTTCTGAATCTAAGAAGTCTAGAGGTCCCCCAGAGCTATCTTTGGCTCTTAGCACCTTTATACTTCATGTTCCTTTGCCTGAAACTTCCTCCCTGAAGGCCAGTACCCATACAGCCACCTACAGGTCACTCACCTCACTCCTCTTTCCTTGACCAATTTTCCTGAATCTTTCCTATCTCAGAAGCTATTAGTTCTGGGTATCCTTCCCTGAAGCTCTAGACTGGCTGGATATCACTTTCCCGGGCTCCAGCCTGCTTAGTGGTCTATTGCTTCTTCTGGACTAACATTTCCTGAGGGCAAAAACAATATCTTGTTCTCTCATGTATTCCTAGGATCTAGCATGGTGTCTGGCACATAGTTGGCAATCACGGGGTATTTGTTGAATAACTTGGTAGTTGCTTTGCAGGAAATAAGCACATCTGGGGTAATCACATTTATATTTTGTTTAAAAATCTCTATATTTCAACTCAAAACCAGTCAAGTTCCACATATTCTCAGTTATGCATGGGAACTAAGTCATGTGTATGCATGCATACACAGTGTGTAAAAATAGACAATGGAGACTTGGAATTGTGTGTGTGTTGGGGGGGTGAAGGATGAGAAAGGGGGATGAAGGATGAGAAATTACAACATACACTCTTTGGATGACGGTTACACTAAAAGTCCAGACTTCATTACTGTGCAATATACCCATGAATCAAAATGGCATTTGTACCCTCTAAATTTATACAAAAAATTCTCTATTTCAGCTGCTACTTAGGAGCAAGTACCATTTTATGAATAAAGCACCATTGAAGTCATTGCTATTCCTTGAAGCCAAAAAAGGTGATATTAGATTTAGAGGTAAACTGGTTAGTGCTAAAGAATCAAGTAATGAAACTAAAACCCACCGTATAGTGTGAAAGCTGAAGAGGCCTTACTCCACTTTGAGTAGATTTTTCTCTTCTGTAATTTTCAAAGGCTGTGCTTAGAAACTGTTTTTCTCATTTTATTCCCTGTTACTTATTGTTCTGCTGTGTGGATTTTTTCATTAGAGGTCTATTTGTGCCTGGTTTGCCTTGAGGGAAGGGATGATACAGAACTCTCATCTGTCCCTGTTACTATGTATTATTACTTGGGCAATGTCAAGGCAAATGCCATATAAATAAATAAAACACTCTGGAAGCTTCAGTTCTCACTGCTAGGCAGCAAAAAGAGCAAATGTTTAACTTTTAAGAGATAGACTTAATAAAAAGCTGCCATTTTCCCATAGTATGAGAGAAAAAGGATATTTTTCTCAAGCATTTATAATTTGGCATTGAGGATTAATAAAATGTTATTGAGTCTGGCTTTGTTATCTGTCTGTAACAATGGTTATTTGGTTTTATCACAGCCTGGAAATCTCAGTTCTATGGGGCTTAGTGTATATACTCAGCTATTGCATAATAAAATCAATCTATTGAAAGGAACAGAATCTTTTATTAGGTGAGGGTGGGCAGAAGAGATTAATTTTTCATCACTCCGAAGGCTCATTTCTGGTTAATCTTGTTTTGGTTTCCCCAATCATGTGGAGTGTCAGTAAAACCCAGTCAGAATTACCATCTTCTGAACTCCATGCGAGAAAACTCCATTACTCCCAGATACTGTTGGATCTTCCACCAGGTACTCTTCTTGGGGTAGGGTGTTGGCGGTTCAATTGATGTATACCTTCTGTGCAGCAGACAGCTAACATGTAAATGTAGAGATTGTCAGCACAAAGAGGATAGTGCAATTATTTTAACACAAGTAGAGTAAATCTTCTCTATTTTTTTTCCCAAAAGTGAAAGAATGCTTCCAGTATTCTTTCTGTGAATACTTTCACTTCTTTCCCGGAAGAGCTGATAAATTGAGTGTTCTAGTAAAATAAACATCCTTGATAAGAGAGATTCACTACACTGTCCCTAATGTGATACATAGACCATCATAGCACTTGCCACATATGGATTGCACATTTTCAAATCATTAAAATCCTAGAGTTCTAAGGACCCTATTGCAGTCAGATACTATGTGATAGCTATTTGCCAAAGATGGCCTCTAGTATCCATGCTTTTGCATTGTCCCTCTCATATTGAAGCTGGGCTGATCCTGTGACTTGCTGTTTCAAGAGAAGGTGGCAGAAGTGATGATATATCTGAACTTCTGAGAGCCTGAGCTTCCACATAAGAAGTTCTGTTGCCCTGAAGGAGAGACCACATGGAGAGACAACATGGAAATACTATACAGAGAGGTCATATGAAGAGGGGACACCCCGAGGCTGTAGGGAGAGAGAAAGGGAAGCCCAGATTTCCTAGGATCCCAGCTGATCCCAGCTATCCCTGCCAAGGTGCTAGGTACATGAGTGCATCCATCTTGGACATTCCATCTTGGATATTGAATATGGAGCTCCCATCTGACTGCAATTGTGTAAGGAGCTATGAGCAAGACCAGCAGGAGAAGATACAGCTGAGACACAGTCAACCCACAGAATCCTCAGAAATAACAGAATAATTGTTGGTTTAGCCACAACATTTTGTGGCTAATTTGTTATGCACTCATAGATAACAAAGGTAGACACCCTAAAACACGAATAATTTAGTCTAGCCTTCTTATATTGTAGGTGAGGAAACTGAAGAAACTGAAGACCAGAGCAATGAACCCATTTAACCAATGTTACAAAGTAATTTAGAAAAAAAAAATGCTGGAATTAGAAGTCATATATCTGGAGTTTTAATTAAATTGTCTGTTAACCTTGCTATGCTGCTTAATATATCACTGTGGCCCAGTAATTCCACTTTTGAGAATATATCATTAGGAAATAATGAGAACAAATTGTGTCTCAATATGTTCACCATACTATAATTTATAACAAACAATTGGAAACAAACTGTAAGTAAAAGTATAGAGGAACAGTGTATTAGTCCGTTTTCACACTGCTGATAAAGACAGACTGGGCAATTTACAAAAGAAAAAGGTTTAATTGGACTTACAAAGAAGCCTCACTATCATGGTGCAAGGCAAGAAGGAGCAAGTCCCACTTTACATAGTTGGCAGCAGGCAAAGAGAGAAGAAGGAAGATGCAAAAGCAGAAATTCCTGATAAAACCATAAGATCTCCTGAGACTTATTCACTGCCATGAAAACAATATGGGGGAACCACCCCCATGATTCGATTATCTCCCATAGGGTCCCTCCCACAACATGTGGAAATTATGAGAGTACAGTTCAAGATAAGATTTGGGTGGGTACACAGAGCCAAACCATATCAACCAGTAAAGGGATTTCTTGTCTTTGCACTTAAAGAATAACATAGCCATTAAAAATAATGCTTACAAATATCATGAAAAACACATGACATTATGGTAAGTGAAAGAAGTGTAACACTGTAACACTTGAAAGCAGGATATGGAACGCTTTACATAAGATCCCCAAGTTAGTTTTTTTCTTCTTCTAAAGACTAGGTAGGAAAAAAGATTGAAAAGATATCATAAAAACATTAACCATAGTTATTAACAAGTAGTGATGTTAGATAACGCATTTTTCTTTTTCCCATTTTTTCATGTTATTTCCATATTTTGATATTAGACACATATTTTACACTGAAAAAATGTGTAAAGAAAAGTCAGACTGTACTGACTTTAAGGCCTTAATTTTTTAAAAAATTTCCATAGGTTTTTGGGAACAGGTGTTATTTGGTTACACGAGTAAGTTCTTTAGTGATGATTTGCGAGATTTTGGTGCACCCATCACCCAAGCAGTATACACTGAACCCGATTTGTAGTCTTTTATCCCTCACCTCCCTCCCACTTTTCCCCTGAGTCCCCAAAGTCCCTTGCATTCCCCTGAGTCCATTGCATCATTCTTATGCCTTTACTTCCTCATAGCTTAGCTCCCACTTATGAGTGAGAACATGTGATGTTTAGTTTTCTATTCCTGAGTTACTTCACTTAGAATAAGAGTCTCCAGTTCCATCCAGGTTGCTGCAAATGCCATTAATTCAGCTGAGTAGTATTCCAGTGTGTGTGTGTGTGTGTGCATATATATATATATATATATATATATATATATATATATATATATATATATATATATCACGATTTTTTTATCCACTCATTGATTGATGGGCATTTGGGCTGGTTTCATGTTTTTGCAATTTCAAATTTTGCTGCTATAAACATGTGTGTGCAAGTATCTTTTTCGTATAATGACTTCTTTTCCTATGGGTAGAAACCCAGCAGTGGGATTGCTGAATCAAATGGCAGTTCTATTTTTAGATCTTTAAGGAATCTCCACACTGTTTTGCATAGTGGTTGTACCAGTTCTAGTTTACATTCCCACCAGCAGTGTAGAAGTGTTCCCTTTTCATCTCATCCACACCAACATCTATCATTTTTTGATTTTTTGATTATGGCCATTCTTGCAGGAGTAAGGTGGTGGTATCACATTGTGGTTTTGATTTGCATTTCCCTGATCATTAGTGATGCTGAGCATTTTTTCATATGTTTGTTGGCTATTTGTATATCTTCTTTTGAGAATTGTCTATTCATGTCCTTAGCCCACTTTTTGATGGGATTGTTTTTTTCTTGTTAATTTGCTTGACTTCCTTGTAGATATTTGTCCTTTGTCAGATGCGTAAATGGTGAAGACTTTCTCCCACTCTGTGGGTCGTCTTTTACTCTGCTGGCTAACTTTTCCTTTTTTTGTTCAGAAGCTCTTTAGTTTAATTAAGTCCCACCTGTTTATCTTTGTTTTTGTTGCATTTGCTTTTGGGTTCTTGGTCATGAAGCCTTTGCCTAAGCCAATGTCTAGAAGGGTTTTTCCAATGTTATCTTCTAGAATTTTTATAGTTTCATGTCTTAGATTTAAGTCCTTGATCCATCTTGGTTGATTTTTGTATAAAGTGAGAGATAAGGATTCAGTTTGTGGCTTGCCAATTATCCCAGCATCATTTGTTGAATATGGTATCCTTTCCCCACTTTTATGTTTTTGTTTTCTTTGTTGAAGATCAGTTCACTGTACATATTTGGCTTTACTTCTGGGTTCGCTATTATATTCTGTTGGTCTATGTGCCAGTTTTTATATCAGTACCATGCTGTTTTGATGATGATGGTCTTATAGTATATTTTGAAGCCAGTTAATGTGATGCCTCCAGATTTGTTCTTTTTACTTAGTCTTACTTTGGCTATGCAGGCTCTTTCTTGGTCCCACATACATTTTAGGATTGTTTTTTCTAGTTCTGTGAAGAATGCTGGTGGTATTTTGATGTGAATTGCATTGAATTTGTAGATTCCTTTTTGGCAGTATGGTCATTTTCACAATATTGAGTCTACCCATCCATGCGCATGGAATGTTTTTCTATTTGTTTGTGTCATCTATGATTTCTTTCAGCAGTGTTTTGTAGTGTTCCTTGTAGAGGTCTTTCACCTCCTTGGTTAGGTATATTCCTAAGTATTTTATTTTATTTTTTTGCAGCTATTGTAGAAAGAATTGAATTATTGATTTGATTCTCAGCTTGGTTTGTGTTGGTGTATAGCAGAGCTACTGATTTGTATACATTAATCTTGCATCCTGAAATTTTGTTGAATTCATTTATCAGTTTTAGGAGCTTTCTGGAGGAGTCTTTAGGGTTTTCTAGATATACAAACATATCATATGCAAACAGTCAATTTGACATCCTCTTTACTGATTTGGATGCCCTTTATTTCTTTCTCTTGCCTGATGGCTCTGACAAGGACTTCCAGTACTATGTTGAATAGATGTGGTGAGAGTGAGCATCCTTGTATTGTTCCAATTCTGAAAGGGAATGCTTTTACCTTTTCCCTATTCAGTGTTATGCTGGCTGTGGATTTGTCATAGATGACTTTTATTACACTGAGGTTTGTCCCTTGTTTATCATTTTTGCTGAGGATTTTAATCATAAAAGGATGCTAGATTTTTTTCTGCATTTGTTGAGATGATCAGGTGATTTTTGTTTTTAATTCTTTTTATGTGGTGTATCACATTTATTGACTTGTATATGTTAAACCATCCTTGCATCCCTGCTATGAAACTCACTTGATCATGGTGGATTATCTTTTTGATATGCTGTTGGATTCAGTTAGCTAGTATTTTGTCAAGGATTTTTGCTTCTATATTCACCAGGGATATTGGTCTGTAGTTTTCTTTTTGTTTTTTTTGTTATGTCCTTTCCTGGTTTTGGTATTAAGGTTATACTGGCTTCATATAATGATTTAGGGAGGATACCCTCTTTCTCTATCTTGTGGAATAGTGTCAATAGGATTGTTACCAATCCTTCTTTGAATGTCTGATAGAATTCAGCTGTGAATCCATCTTGTCCTGGACATTTTATGGTTGGTAATTTTTTTTTTTTTTTTTGAGACGGAGTCTTGCTCTGTCACCCAGGCTAGAGTGCAGTGGCATGATCTCGGCTCACTGAAACCTCTGCCTCCCGGATTCAAGTGATTTTCCTGCCTCAGCCTCCCAAATAGCTGGGATTATAGGCACCAGCCACCACGCCTGGCTAATTTTTGTACTTTTAGTAGAGACGGGATTTTACCATCTTGGCTAGGCTGCTCTTGAACTCCTGACCTCGTGATCCACCTGCCCTGGCCTCCCAAAGTACAGGGATTACAGGCGTGAGCCACTGTGCCCGGCTGGTTTTTCTTTTTCCTAGAGTGAGAGGTCATTATCTTCCATAGAGTATTCAGTCAGTAACAACCAGAATTGAAGGTTCTGCAACATTACTGCCCCCACTGCCATTTTTCCTGGTTGAATAAATCATGGTCATGACAATTCATCTGGCTTTACTTTGATCTTCATCTTTATTCAATCATGCTATAATGTTTTCCTGATTTTTCTGCAATTTGGGGAGGAAACAGTGGCCACGAGGAAGGGGTGGGAGGTAGACAAGGTCAGGGTGGGAGGTAGACAAGGTCAGGGTGGGAAGATAGTATTGAACTTTACTTCTTGAAATGTGAAAAAAAAAATGTTTGACTACAAGGCCATATGCCCCAACACTGGATTAATATCATGTTAGCAGAAGATGTCTAGTGTTGACTTTGGCTCTGATTACTTCAGTTAACTGTTTCCTTGAATGAAATATGGAAGGCAGTCCCAATGACTTACTGTATAATCCTATAATTTTTATTTAAGTTACTGGTACAAAAGTATAGATCATTTGTATTACTGACAGTTTTGCTTAATTTATTCTACTAATAACATTTGATTGGTACTTATACTTTGAATGGTAGAATCAGGATCTAGGATGATAATGAAAGTTGGTATTATTAGGTTGATGTGAACAATATGAAATTTAATGAAGATAAATGTAAGAACTGGCCCTTAGGTCCAACAAAGCAAAGTAAAAACAGGTGAGAGAAGATATACATTTGGTTTAGCATATAGATCAAACACTCTGAGGCTTTGGCTTATGGTAAGCTTCAAGAGAGACAACACTTTGGCGTGGGTGCTCAGAGAAACTCTGTAATCACAGGCTTATTAACAGAACAATAGAATAATGATGCAAACAGTGCCAGACTCTTTGCATTGATCAGATCACCTCTGGAATATTGTTTTAAGTTCTAGGTGCCTTAAAGCATATGGATATATATTCATATTAGATTGCTAAGAGTTGAAGTCATGTCATAGAGAAAACAAACAAAGAATGTTTGCTGGGGTGAGGGTGGGGTAGCATTATAGCTATCTTTAAATATTAAATGATTTTCCAAGTGGAATGTGACCAAGGACTGGTATACAAGATATAAGGTTAGGGTGAATGAATGATAACTAAGCCAGAGCATATTTTTTTTAACATGAGGAAGATATTTTTAACAGACAGCGCTCTTTCAAGATGTCATGGGCTGCCTCATTAGGAGGCAAGTGTTTAGCTCTAAAGGCATTCAAGAAGATGCTGGAGGCCGGGCGCGGTGGCTCACGCCTGTAATCCCAGCACTTTGGGAGGCCGAGGCGGGTGGATCATGAGGTCAGGAGATCGAGACCATCCTGGCTAACAAGGTGAAACCCCGTCTCTACTAAAAATACAAAAAATTAGCCGGGCGCGGTGGCGGGCGCCTGTAGTCCCAGCTACTCGGGAGGCTGAGGCAGGAGAATGGCGTGAACCCGGGAAGCGGAGCTTGCAGTGAGCCGAGATTGCGCCACTGCAGTCCGCAGTCCGGCCTGGGCGACAGAGCAAGACTCCGTCTCAAAAAAAAAAAAAAAAAAAAAAAAGAAGATGCTGGAAAAGCAAATGTCAGAAAAGAAATGTCAGAAACAAATACAAGTTATCTCATTCCTGAGAAAACTATAACTTTCCTGGTAGATCCACAACTTTGGATAGGGATGGTGAAAGGTGCCAATAATTTTGCAGATGGTCTCAAAGGCAGCAAAGGCAGATCTGCTTTTATGGGTGTTTTTAAGCTGTTCAGTCTACTTAATTTGCTACTGTAAATGTTTTGCATATTTAAAAATTGGGCTTAAATTTTTTTAAAAATAACTTTGGCTCACCCTAATGAATAACTCCCAGAATTAAAAAATTGAATAGCAAAAACAAAGTAGTTGTTGCAGAGAACCATAGTCGTGGGAACCATAGTTGTCCTTGCTTTTATTTATTAGTCACATAACCTTTGGTGTATCACACCTACTAAAGTCCATGAAATTAATGTCTTTATGGTATTTTGAATGAGAGTGGTTGCTCTCCGGTGTCGTTTGATTCTTTCTCCTCTTTGAGGAGTCCACAGTATAGCCACACTTTGGAGAAAAGTATCAAAAAGTGGTTTGTCTTTTGACTTTTTGACTTCTCCTTGTCCACTTCCAGCCGCAATCATCTCCCTCCTACCAGACTCTGGGACGTGAATGTGTAATTACAGCCCATTGTCTGTGCAGCAATTATAGCCTAATTTGACTTGTTGCACAGAAAGATGACAAAAGTGCTGGCTGTCAGGCAGGGTCAGAGGTCAGCCATTACCCCACGGACTACAGGCAGCAGCCTCATCAGGATTCTGTGGAAGGCTCGTCTCTGGGCAGGACGGGTCTGCAGCTGTCTGTGCGTCTTTGCAGATGACTCTGGGTGAAAACATGGACTGTTTTCAAGATAGATGATCCCAGCGTGCAGTTTGGCTTCTTGCTTTCTTATCAAAGATGTCAAAATTGTTCTGCAGTGAATGAAGCTATTTCTTGTGCCTTCTATATAAATTTTGAGTGGGACATGTACATAACCCAGCTTTAAGATATTTTATCAACTTTCTAGAAATAAAGTTAAGATTATGAAATGGTATTTAAAAGGAATGTTAAATCAGTATGCTACATTAGTATGAAAACTCCTGTGTGTTAAATAGGATAATAACTTGGATGCAATTAAATGAATTGTATCCAGATAGAAAGTCCTAGAGACACTATAAATAAGAATCATAAAATCACAAAGTAAAACTAAAAAAGCATATCCTGTATCAGTTAACCTAGTCCTTGTAGGTAATAAATAAATATTCCTTAAATAATTTTTCTTATGTTTTGTCTATTCTACATTTAAGTCTCTGATAGTAGGCAAATTCAGATCTATTTCAAGAGAGAGAACATTTTACTGTTATTGAAAGATTCTTTAATCCCATTTTCAAATATTTGATATATTTAACATAATTGATCTTCTCCAAATTTAGACAGACATACTGGTCAAACTCATAGTCATTTCAATGAATGAAAGTAATAGAAATTATAATTGAGAGAAAATATGCTAAGTGACAGTGCCAATATTCTAGAAATCAGAAACAAAATACAAAATGGGCTTGAGAAAATTGGTTCATTTAAAAAAATATATTTAGTAAGGGCCAATCTAAGGTGGATGGGGGCAAAAAAAGTTTAAACACAAATCCAGTTAGGTACAATAAAAAATACATTTTGATGCCAATGCACTTAATAGGCAGTATAAATAAAATGCTTTTATGAAATATAGCAATGTGATATTGTAATCTAACCAAATATGTTAGGTACCAGGAAGCATTCCTTACTATTTTATTCTATAAAAGAAGAGGATTGTATTCGTTTCTACTACTCTATTTCATTATTTTATTCTTGTCAGAAAGCTGTAGTGCACTTAAGAGTTTAGGGCAGGATTTTAAGCCCTAGAAAGCCAGGTAATAATCAAAGAAAAGTCATTTTTAGGTTCCCAGGCTGAGGTAAAACATAGAAGTCAGGAAATGGTTTAATAATGAGTAAGCAAACAGGAAGTGAAAGCAGTGAGCCACACAGGCCAGCTGACTTAGATGATCATGGCAGGCTCAGAGACGAAGGAAGTGAGAATTCAGCTGTCAAACCAAGAGTGTTGGCACCAGAGATTACAGTGGGTGTGTGGGAAACCTATCATCCAATTCTTTGCCTGCAACAAGGGCATTTGAGATTCATGACCATTTCAAAGATCTGGTTGTATGGCCTAATTCACCTGATCCTTTGGGTGAATGCTAAGAGAACTGCCACCATTTCCATTATAACAAAAGTACTCTTTATTGAGGAATTGTTATATAGTGGGCGTAGTATAGGTAAACACTTACTCACTTATTCCCTTATTCTATATATGAGTACTGAGCTTAGAATGTGCCAATTACTGTGATACTGACTAGGATACAACAGCAAGTGAAAACAAATATGGTCCTTGCTCTCACAGCTAGGATGAGGTAGATATTAATTATATAATGTATATAACTTAAATAAATATAAATACACATGTAATTTAAAATGTGTTAAGTACTATTGACAATAGAAAGGGGTACTTGGAATATAGGTAGATGAAGAATAAAATTTGATTTAACGTTCATAATCTAGTAGAAGTCTCCTTTTACAGAGAAATAGGCAGAGGCGTGGAGAAGCTAATTCCCAAAGTCACAGGCCTACAAGAGGAGAGCTGAACTCTTCTGTATAGTCTTCCTGGTCACATACTAACTAAAACAAGACTCACACAAATGTAGAACTGAAACAGAAACTTAGATCTTGTATAAATTAATTCATTGATTTATTCAAATAATATTTGTTGAGTGGCAGCTCTAGGTACAGGGGACATCATAGAAAAAGGCCCTCTTTTTTGTGCAAATAAGACTTATATTTTAGTGGGTAAAAATAGATGAACAAACTGGCTACCTAAATATCAGTGATAAAAGAATAGCAAAGAAACAGACTTGTGTGATGGACAATGACAGAATGGCTCATTTTTCTTAGCAGTACCAGGAAAGGCCTCCCTGAAACCAGAACAGGAAGAAGCAGGCCCTTCAGAGGGCTCAGGGAAGAGTCTTTCAGCTAGAGGGAATTGCTTGGACAAAGGCCCTGAGAAGGGAATAGCTTGCATGTTTGAGAGACAGAAAGAATCTCCGGGTGGCAAGAGTATCAGGAAGAGACACGTAGGATGAGTCTGAAGAGACGTTCAGGGTCCAGATTACAAAGGACCTTGTGGGTCAGGGGTTTAGATTTTATTTCAGTTGAATGAGAAGTGTGGGGAAGGTCATTAAAGGAGACAAGGTGAAGAAGATGGGATATGATTTAAGTTTGTTGTTGTTGTTGTTTTTGACGGAGTTTCTCTCTTGTTGCCCAGGCTGGAGTGCAGTGGTGCAATCTTGGCTCACTGCAACCTCCACCTCCTGAGTTCGAGCGATTCTCCTGCCTTAGTCTCCTAGGTAGCTGGGATTACAAGCACACGCCACCATGCCCAGCTAATTTTAGTATTCTTAGTAGAGACAGAGTTTCACCATGTTGGCCAGGCTGGTCTCGAACTCCTGACCTCAGGTGATCCACCCACCTTGGCCTCCCAAAATGCTGGGATTACAGGCGTGAGCCACCACACCTGGCTGATTTGAGTTTTAAATGATCACTCTGACTGTTATGAAGAGGATGGATTAAAGGAGGCTACCATGGGTAAAGGGAGTACCCAGAGGGGCGCTCTCATATGCCTCACAGGTAAGAGAGGATGGTGGCACTGATGAGGCAGCAATAGTGGAACTGGCAAGAAGTGAATGTCTTAAAGACCTTTTTATTAAAGAAAATGTCAAATGCATACAAATTTAGAAAAAAATCGTAAAATAAACTCTGACACACCCATCACCCACATTTGACCATTATCAACTCGTTGCCAGTTTTGTTTCTTATATAGCTCACCAACTTTTCCAGATTATTTTGCAGCAAATATAAAATGTTATATCATTTCATCCATAAATATTACAATATAAATGTTTAATAGACAAGGATTTATATTTTGAATACAATACTAATTTATGCCTAAACATGGACAATAATCCTTACCTTTTTTTCAGTCCTTCTGTTAGATTTTAATCATAACAACTTTTATCAAGTACAACTTTACTGCTAATGTGTCTAATTTTATGTATGTATGTTTTTTTATTGATACATAATAGATGTACATATTTTAAGGGTAAATGTGATATTTTGATACATTCATATTATGTCTAAAGGTCAAATCACGGTAATTGGAATGCACCTCACCTTAAATATTTATCTTTTATTTATGCTAGTAAGATATGAATTGTTCTATCCTCTCTTCATCTGCTATTCCCCCTCCCCTAGTGTTATCAAATATCCTGTCAGTGTTCAAATTTCTTTGTCTTATGACTTTTTAATGATTTATTTGAGTCAAGGTCCTTATGTTCATATATTGCATTTGGTTGATGTGACATTTATGTCTCTCTTGTTATTTTCTTTTCCTTGTAACTTATTCATTAAAGAATTTGTGTGGCTTCATTAAGAGTGTTTGTCAATTTGGACTTACCTAATTGCATCATAAGGGTGTCATTTCATGTGTTCCTCTATCCCCTGTGTCTTCTGTAACAAGTTAGAGCTAAACGTTTAATTGGCTTCAGGTTTATTTTTTTTTTCTTTTCTTTGCCAAATGTCCTTCCATCAGGAGGTACACAATATCTGAGTGTCTCTTTTTGGGATGTTAACAATTGTTGATAATCATCACTCAGATCTCTAAATTAGCAGTTGCAAAATAGTGATAATGTAATTCTATTATTGAGAAGTAGAAATATGGTTTTGAAACATATTTTAGAGATAGCATAGATAAGACTTGCTGATGGAATTCTGATGAGAGGAAGAGAAAGACAGAAATTGAGAATGACTCATGCTTTTGGCTTAAAAAGTTAGGTTGATGGCATTGCCAATTACTGGTTTGGAGAAGGCTGAGAGCAGCTTTAGGGTATGTGGAAAATAAGAGTGAAGGATTATATACCTTATAAATATCCAGGTGGACATCTTAAGAAGGTGGAATAGAATTCAGAAAAGGAATCAGAACTATATAGTATAGTCACAGTATATACTTGTATTTAAAACTGGGGGTCAGGTTGAGATTACCTAGAAGGAGGTGTTTAGAAAGAGAAGAAAAGAAGTTTTGAATACTTATAAGGAATTTTGACCAATTGATCCCTAAGTAGAACCATGCTAGGAATTGAACAGAAAGGTCAACTTGTCCCAGGAAGCTTCTCCAGGTACAACAGTATAAATCCAAGAGTAGGAGTTTCCCTGTATGATACAGAGGAGAAACACTATGCTTGCTTTCGGACAAGTAGTGCTAATCTACATAAGGCATACCCCTGTACCTTGGGCATCAGGAAGAATTTCTCCCTTGTCCTCAAGGTGATATCCACTAGAAAGCACTACAGTGGGCGGAGTTACAAACCCTACCTCTACTGTGCTAAGTGGAATTCTATCATGGCTCCCATGGCCCTTGTCACGTGGTGTTACTCCTGTGATTAAGTTATGCTATGTGGCAAAAGGCATTTTGCAGACGTAAGGTTACTGGTCTGTTGACATTAAAATAAGAGATTACTGGGTGTGCCTAACCTAATCACATGAGTTCTTTGAAAGCAGAGAGTTTTCTCCTGGTGGCAGAGGAGGAAGTCAGAGAGATTCCAAATGTGAGGATTTGATGCACTATTGCTGGCTTGAAGATGGAGGGAGGCACATGGCAAAGAAAACAGGCCAGCAAGGAAATGGGGATGTCAGTCCTACAAGCACAAGGGACTGAATTTGTCGAACACCTTGAATGCGTTTGGAAGTGTGTTGTTCTCCAGAGCTTCCAGATAACAGGACAGCTTGCCTGATACCTTAATTTTGGTCATGTGAGTCTCTAAGCAGAGAACCCAGTTAAATCTCTCCCTCCTTCTGACCTACAGAACTATGAGATAATGAATGGGTAGTGGTGTGAGCCAATACGCTGTGGTAAGTTGTAACTCATTGTTAGAAAACTAATGTGCCTATGACATGCCAGACACTGTGACCGGCTGCTAGGAGGTATACAAAGATAATGATGCAAAAACCTGGCTTTCAGTTATTCATCCATGTAAAGACAAGAGGTGGAACTGTCTTGTCTTGAGAGTTAAACGAGATCTTTTCTTCTGTGTGAAAACAAGCATCTTCAGCCCTAGTTCCTACTGTTTCTCTTCCCCTGTAATAAGACAGCACACACCGGGAAGCTACATGACTAACTGACACAGAGCATGTAAATTTGTTGTCTGTATCAGTACAGAATCATTGAAGACTTAAGCTGGAATGTTATATAATGAATAATATCTAATATTTGCTCAAATTCATTATTACAAAAAAATCCCAAATCTACAATTAACACAAAATAAGTACAATATCATGCAGTTATGAGATATTGGTGTCCTCCTCCTAATGCACAAATACAAGTGTGAGCTGAGAAGATATACCTGCCTGGGTTATAATTAGTATTTAATTGATCATAGTGCACCTGGGTTGTGGTAAAGTTCTTGCAGCACTGTTTTAAGTCAGTGAATGTGTGTGGTTTTAAATTATTTTTTAAAAAGCCAGTGTAGAACTAGGAACATTCTAATCAATGACATCATTTTGATAAGGAATATATACTATATAGTAATTGGATAAATTTTATGGAATGAATGTTCCAAAAGAAGCAGATTTGGCAGTGCATGTTCACCCACTGGGTGTCTCTAATATGTTAGAATTTGGTGTGTAACACATTTGAGTGGGGAGTTTAAGTACTTTCAACATCCCTTTCTGGAGGATTTTTTGAAAACTAAATTCTTTGCAGTGCACTATCAGATCATCAAGAAGTGACACAAACTTGTTACTGGTAAAGTCACATCCTTTAACTACACATTATAAAAAAAATATGCTCGTGGTCTCTCTCTCTCTACCCCTCTCTCTCTGTCTCTTTCTCTCTCTCTCTTTCTCTCTTTGCAGTAGAGATGGCAACTATCTACCAAATATTTGTGCGTCCCCTTTCAAACCTTTCACTGAGAGGCAGCTGCCTAGGCCAGGACTGCATTTCCCAACAACCCTTACAGTCAAGTGTGGCTGTGTACCTTGTTCTCACTTATAGGCAGTGTATGTTCTCTAGTTTCTTTTCTTCATCTGCTAGCCATAGGCAGAGGATTCTTAGGCTCTAGCCTGAGTTCCAAAATAACCCCATGGAAGATGGTAGGCTGACCAGGAACACATACATTGGACAATAACAAAGGGTCAAGTAAATTTGATTGTGTTAAACTAAGAGATGTGCGTGTGTGTGTGTGTGTGTGTGTGTGTAAAGTATAAAATGTAATCATTCTGAACAATTGCTTATAATCTTTATAATCTGGACATTTCATACATCTGATTAAAATCCTCTTATCAGGCATCAAGATGTCACTAGTATATTAAACCCGTGTTATAAACAGAAAGTGTAATGAAAGTCATATTCAGTTTTGCTTTTTATTTTGAAAAAATGAAGCAGATCTTTAGTTGCAGTGTGTAGACCATTGCTTGTATGTATTCTTTTATCATTAAAAAACATAACCAGATAATTATTTTAGCTCTAGTAAAGAATTTCTGCTTCCATAATTTATCTGTTGTTGATGTCATAACACATAAATTTCAATCTTCTTTAATAAATATTTGGTCCCCCAAACAAAAATAATATAATAAAAAATTCAACAAAAATTTGTAGTGAACAAGTAATGCTTCCTTCTTAATTAATTTTTAAAAAATCAATAAGCATGCATTGCTTAAATGGAAAAAGTCAAGAATTTTCTTTAACTGTATTGAAAGGTCCAAAAGTTATAAAATAAGCCCTGTAATTAATCTTTATTAATGAATGAATATAAAACAAAATAGTTTGTGTTTTCTTTACTAAAGGCCACTTCTTTACCATATACCACTCAGAAATATGAAATGATATAAGAAACTTTTCAGAGAACTCATAAGACTACATATTAATGTGAAAGAAGTTTAAGAATCAGAAAAATTGAAGTGGGATAGTCTGATAAATTCAAATATATTTTCTTATATAAGAATGTCAATGGATAAAAGCCGATAATAACAATGTTTTACTGTTACTTAATTTGCCTTTGAGTTTTATGTCCTGATTCATTATAGCCTTGTCTGGAAGGGGAGGTATTGCTTTCACATGGTTTGAAAACTAAATTCTTTGTGATGTAGAGGGTAAAACAGGCAAGTAACAACTAAAGTAGCAATTATAATGCAGTATGATGTAGCCCACTATAGAGAGCAAAAACAATGATAAGGAAGCATGTAATGGAAGAAGCAAGTAACCCAGACTGAGAGGTCAGAAACTACGTTTGTATTAAAGCCCAGGTGCTGATGAAAAGGTGGCCACGTGCAGAGTCAAGGAAGGAGTTTTCTAGGATGTTTCAACGTGGAACATCCAAGCTACAATGCATGAAGACTAAAGCAATTCCATCTTGGATGCAAATCTGCCATGTTGACTTCTGATTAACCTTGATTCTGAGAATGCCTCTCAGATTTCTACTTCATCTACTGTCACTGTAAATTCTGCCCTGAGGTCAAAACAACCTTGACCATACATCCTGACCTTTGGCAGATTCACATAGCATTCTTGCCTTTCATTGAGGGGTCCAGTTCAATTGTCCTACACATTCCTTCCCTATGGTTTATAAGCCCTGAGCATATGAGGTAACAGTGAGAGGATCCACCATCTTGTCTCATGGTCAACTGAGATGCAGACATGGCTTCTGTTCACATGTCCCTATTAAATATTTCTTTCTAAGAAACTGTATCTGTCAGCCCTTTTCTTCAGTGTCTCAGCATCCTAGGCTGTTGGAGGTAGGTTTGTGTAGACCTTCTCACCGCTGGAACAAGGTGTGAACAGGATGTTAGTTCACACAGCCTTATAAGTCATTTGAAGAGCTTTGAGCTTCATCTTAGGAGCACTGGAAAGCTAATAAAGGGTTTTAAGCAGGATAGAGACACAGTATTGTGCTGCAGGATGTTTACTTGTGTAACAGAGTCGGGAAAGAAGAGATGGGCTGTCAGGTTACCAGTGTTGGAACGAATCCAGGGAAGAGATTATGGTGGCCAAACTAGGGTAGTGGCCATGGGTGTGAAAGAAGCAGATTCAAGAGACACATAAGGGTGTCCATTGGATTTAGTGACTTTAGAGAGGAGAGGCAGGAGGTGAGGGCTTCTTTTACTTTCTAATCACTTTTTGAGTGGGTTTCTACTTAACTTTTGAGGTCAGGTTACTAGCCCCTCGTGTGATCTCAAATTGAGGATTTTAGTCCTATCTCAGACCCAAATGAGAAGCAAAAAGCCATCAAAGCCTCTCAATGTGGTCTAACATCTAATCTCTCCCCTTCAACCCAGGAGCCAGGAGACCATCCCAAGTTTGTATTTCAAATAGTTCTATTTTCTACAGTCAATGCTTGTTCCTCATTCCTGCTATGTACCAGAAACTTAGGAGTTACTCATAATTTGAGATGGTGGGTTTTGATGTATTCTGACACATGAAGGTTTTGTGCTATTTTTTCCCTGCTCCCTTCAGATTTACTCTGTGGCCCTCCGAGACTTCGTGTAACAGCAACTGCATTTTAATGCAATGGCAGCTATGGAAAACACAAAACTATCAGTCATTGTCAAATACTCCATAAATGGAGACAGAGAAGGGGTTCAGTTCTCTGTGTAACAAGGACAGAGGAGAAAGGTCAGTGATATATCATGTGGTATAGGATTTTCCCTTAAGCAATCTTCCGCTAAGACTTGCTCACAGTGTGGAAGCTTTTGTCTGCCCAGAGACTGAATTCTAAAACCACTCCTCAACTTAAAGTTCCAAATATTCAACGCTCTGTATAGCATTGGAGAAAGTGTAGAAGACGCTGCAAATGCATTTAGGGAAAAAATTAATTTTTGCCATTCGTGAAGTCCAGGAACTAATATTAACAGTTGTTTAACTTATGAAAAATTAATTAGATGACTTATAAATTATGTATGTGGGAAAAAGAAAATCTGTCAGTGGGTGGTTTGAGGATTCAGAAGAGCACTTAAGTTGATAACAAAAGGTATTTTGTGCAGCAGGTCACATTGGGGTAGGCTTTTATTCTTCTTTTGTGCCTGAAAATGGTGAATACAGAATTGTTCTTATGTAACTCCCTGGTAGTGAGGGAACTAGTCATTCCCATAACACATTTATCATTATGTGTGTGTCTGCTATTTAGAAGTATAGAAGAGAGTAGACAAAAATTTAATGAGAAAGTCAGAGAACTGAAAAGTCGCTAGAACAGCTAGAATATCTGAATGCTGAACCCGTCTGCCTAGCAACATGGCACAACCTCATAATGAGCCCTTCTCCCAGATCTCTTGAGAAAAGAATAAACACAGCAACCCTGGAAGTCAAACTCATACATGTGATATAGAAATTAAACAACAGATCTAATTCTGAAACAAGTTTAGATTTATCTGTATTTTAAAAAATATTGTAGAGCAATGAAATATATTTTCTTAATCTGACTTTTAAAGGAATATTTAATTTATGGTACTTTTTTCTGGTTAATTTTATCTTTTCCATACCAAGTAATATAGGCAGTTGCAACATCCATGAAGAGTTGTTAATTGGAGCACAAGGTACTAGAAATGTTCAATCTCACTTTGAAAGACACATTACAAATATGAATATCAATTAATATGCCTTTAAAAAAGTTATATAAATCTATTTTTGGGAAAATGTTTATTTTGAATAATTAAAAACAAAGGTGATTTGAACTCAAAATAATTTATTCTAGTTTAAATTTTATAATGAAAAGAAAAATAACGATGATTTAGGAAACAGCTATTCTGAGTTAACCATATATTTATCTTCACTTTCAACCTTTGTAGGCATAATTGGAGTCTCTAGTATAAATCAAATAACAATCTTCAATTAATATATCATAGATGATTAAGCATTGTATGAAAGAAATCAAATTCTGATACTCTCTGATTTTCTACAGCTGTTTCCCTTTTACTCTTTTCCTTAAGCTTCTTAAAGAAGAGATATGTTGTTTTCTGTATTTAAAAAAAATAGTGCAATTAACACTAAGCAGCAGTGTCTCAAATAAATAGGAAGACATTGATAAATTTGGCCAGAATTACAAAGACTTCTAAAAGAAAAGTATTAATATACCTATAGGATGGTCTAAAATTCAGAGAATACTTTTCTCCACATACTGAATAATCAGGTAGTCATTTATAATTCCAGGTGGGTGTGGCTTCCTTCATTTTAGGGAAGACTGACTAAGGGCTTCACTGTAGTATTGTAGTATTCCACTGGTTTTCAAGGTAATATTACCCTTGAGATTTTATCTTATACTTAGGATTCTACAGAAAAAAAATTATGCGTGAAAATGTTAACTGCAACTTTATGGTCAACTCTAAGGTCCTCTTTTAATCCACAGATGCCCAAATACTAACTTAAAACTGAGTGAATGAAACATGTCTCATTATATTCTAGGCATCTGCAGTGTCAAATCTACAGAGACAAGTGCACCTGGAGACAAATGACCAGACTACCATAAAACAGAAGCTTAATTATGTTCACTTACATTTTCAAATTATTCCCAACAAATTACCCTGGTAGGTGACACATCCATCAAGCCAAGACTCTAATTTCACATTCACAGTAATATGTTTCTGTAAACTACTGTAATAAGGTTTTAACTAAATTTTCCCCTTGACCTTACTGTGCTGAAATATTGCAGGCTGTGTGTTTTCCAGTTTCTCCAATTAATTTCTGACCTTGGTGCTGCCTGGGCACAATGAGGCAAGTGAAGGGTGGAGATCAGATTTAATTTTGAATTTCCTGACTGCTGCTGGTCTGTATCTCAACTTGAACATTACTTAAACATGTTATTTTTGGTCAATGACTTTTTTATGCAGCACACTGGGCAGATATAATTAAGCAGGCTAAGTTTTGTTCTCAGCTGTCCTCTAAGTTCTTGCATGGGAACTTGGAGTCTCAACAGGAAACACCTGTATGGTGGTTGTATACCAAGCATTCCCAGAGAATTAATATATAACATTGTTCCTGAGCTTCTCAAGCTATTCCCCAAATAGAAATGCCCAGCTGTATTTGAAGGCTGTATTTTCAATTACTAGTGAAAATGCAAGCTTTTAACTTAAAAGTAAACTTTATTATAAAGATCTATTTGGCTTAGCTATATTAAGGGTCAGCCTCATCATTCGTTTATTTCGTCATTCAATATTAGACTTTTTAAAATTCAAACAACCTTTATTGAATGCCTACACTATGTAAGGACTGTGAAAGTATAAGAGAAATCAGACTTAGGCCAGGCGCGGTGGCTCACGCCTGTAATCCCAGCACTTTGGGAGGCCAAGGCAGGTGGATCACCTGAGGTCAGGAGTTCCAGACCAGCCTGGAACTGGTCTGGAAACCATAGTGAAACCCCATCTCTACTAAAAATACAAAATTTAGCTGGGCATGGTGGTGGGTGCCTGTAATCCCAGCTACTTGAGCGACTGAGGCAGGAGAATCGCTTGAACCTAGGAGGCGGAGGTTGCAGTGAGCCGAGATCATATCACTGCCTGGCCTGGGTGATAGAGCAAGATTTTGTCTCAAAAAAAAAAAAAAAAAAAAGGAAAAAAATATGTGTATATATATGTATACATGTATTTGGTGGTGTTCTTGCTGTTGTTGTTGGTTCTGTCTCTCCGGTGGGCCCTGTCTAATACATTGGGGGCCTTTGTCAGTTTCAGCCCCAGCTAAGGATGGGAAAATAGGTTCCTCCCAAGAACTTGCAGTTACAATCTTCTCTCATTCAGCTATAGAATTTGAATTTACTACAACAGAGATGTCCAGATGACATCTAGTTAAGAAATTGAAGTTATCAGGGATCTGTTCTGCCTCCATGGAATATAACAGAAGCAAGCCCAATTCTAGTCAATGATGATACATGTTCCCCCAGACCTCACAGTATCCCTACAGATAAAGCATCAACTCAATAAAAAATTAGGATTTGTATTCAAAACATACACATAACTACTAAAATTCAATAATAATTTTAAAAAACTATATAAGTTGAAAAATTGGCAAAAAAAAATCTGAATAGACACCTCGCCAAAGAAGATATACCGATGGCAAAGAAGCTATTAAGATATGATGAATATTATGTCATTAAGGAATTGCAAAGTAAAACAATGATGCAACACCACTACATGCATATTATAATGGTGAAAATCCAAACACTGCTAACATCAAATGCTGATGAAGATGTGGCACAAGAGAAACTGTCATTCATTGCTGGCGGGAATACAAAATGGTACAGCCACCTTGGAAGACAGCTTGTCGGTTTCTTACAAAACTAAATATAGTCTTAGTGTAAGATCCAGCAATCACATTTCTAGGTATTTAGCCAAATAAGTTGAAAACTTATATTCATACAAAAATATGCACATAAATATTTACAGAAGCTTTATTCATAATTGCCAAAGCTTGGAAGGAAGCAAGATATCCTGCAATACGTGAATAGATAAACAAACTGCAGTATATCCATATCTTACTGAGTAATTACCACTCATGGGTTTCAAGTTACTTAGTGATAAGAAGATGTGATCTGGCTGGGTGCCATGGCTCACACCTGTAATCCCAGAACTTTGGGAGGCCAAGGCAGAAGGATCGCCTGAGCCCCAAAAAAACTTGTAGATAAATGTGCATAGTAGCTTTATTTAAAATATTTAAAAATTGGAAACAATCCAAATATCCATCAACAGGTGAATGGAGGAGCAAATTATGTTAAAATAAAATACTACTCACCAACAAAATGAATAAACAATTGATACATGGTACAGTATGAGTGAATCTAAAATAATTATGCCAAGTAGGGGAAGCCAGACAAAAAAGAAAATGTGCTGTATGATTTTATTAATATAAACATATTGGTTAACATGAGGGCTCATTTATGTCATCATAGGCTTTATGAAAAAACATCAACAGCAAGAAAAATAATTATAGAATGTCAAAATTGGAGAGTAAGAAATAAGATGGAATAAAAATACTATAAATAAAAGAAATGAATATAAATTAAGATCAGCATGGTTGAGTATTTTTTTCCAGTAATGTTTAGGGCATTGTTATACATGGAGTAGGCAAAGAGTTGGATCTAACTAAGTTTGGAGTTTGGTGAGGAGAGTATGTCTAAGAGCAAAGCAGCAAGTGACTGAGGATATATAATAGGAAGTTATAAGCAGAGTTGAAGGAATATAAGCTGAAAGCAGGAAAGAAAAATTTTGAATGGAATTAGGGTCAAAGACAAAGTAGAAAATTCCAGTATAGCCAAAGAATTATTGGAATTTGAGTACTAGAGACAGTGAGCTAGAAAATAGGAAGCATTACAATTAGTCAAAAAGTAGGATGATTACACCTGAGATAATAGAAGGGGTACAGTTATTGGAAACATCAATATTTAGGATATTAGCCTGAGAGTGGGTAGCTAATGTGGGATAGAGGGCAAGATCATTGGAGTAGAGAAGTCAAGGAACTGAGAGGCCAAGATGTTGGAAGAACAGTCCACATAGATACTGAAATTGCTAAGAACGATGACAATCACATAGGATAGAGTGACAGTACTCTGCTAAAAGAAACTTTTAACAAATGACAGGAATAGCCCAGGGAAATGCACAGA
This sequence comes from Homo sapiens, assembly GCF_000001405.40. Classification (NCBI taxonomy): domain Eukaryota; kingdom Metazoa; phylum Chordata; class Mammalia; order Primates; family Hominidae; genus Homo; species Homo sapiens. The sequence goes on from NC_000013.11 coordinate 78,035,050, forward strand.
GGCAAATCTTAGGATAGAAAGAGCTTCAAAAATGAGGCTTTTTTAGGGAGTAAGGAAGGTAAGCATTTGGAAATGGTAATTATCAGTAATAACGTCTCCTCATCACCAGATTTAAGACGAGGTGACTGTGGGAGGAAAAAATGCTCCATTTGAGAGAGCTGCCAGGGAAAGAATTTCAGGGGAGAGACAGGTTTCCCTCAGATAAGGAAAGTGAAGGGAACACTCACAGGACAGTTTGAGCATATAGAGAATTTCGTTGGTTACAGATGTGAGTACCAAGAAATATTGACAAAATTGTTTAGGAAGAAATCTTGTTTATGTGTGGACTATGAATAGATTTTGTTCTGTAAACTGTGTACTTAGGCAGATGTTTATGCGTAGATGGTTGTTGTGGTTGGCTTCCCATTCAATAAAGACAGCCTCTTTATGCTCAATATTATCATTTACAAACATCAAAGATGTTCTTTTTTTTCCCAACCATTATAATGTGTGTATGTACATATGTATGGCTAATATCACTAACCAGGCTACAATTAACTCAATTTAAGACCCATATATAAACCACATAGAGAACAGAAGTGTCAACACAGGCACAACATAATTGGCATATCTCAGATGGAGAACAGGCATTAACCAGAACTTGTAAGAACACTTAGTACCATAGTTTCCTGTTTGTCTGCTTAAACAACAAGCATCTTCATACAGCTCTGATATTTCTCAATATGTTGAATAGGATATGCTCATTCTCATTGACTAGAAGGTGCAATTCCTATTTTAGTGAATCCCGGTTCCCCATTGCCCTAGTTTACACAAAGCAATGTGCATTGCAAGTGCAGAGGAAGTTTGAGGGATGAGGTTGGGATTGAGGTTCACTCTGCCAGGACACCACTCGCTTCACTTTTCCCGAGATTTAAGGAGGGCAAAGGGAGCTGCCAGTGCCACGAGCTAGCTCCCACATCAGTAGCCCACCTCTCAAACTTTAAGTGGCCTGAAGAAGGAAAGTTAATTGCTCTATAATTACAGCCTTGGCTGGGTAAACTCATTTTCAGGCAGGTCATGGAGACAAAGAGCTTGTGTATTGTCTTTCCATGCAGTGACATTCATAGTGGGATGATTTTGTGTGCTTTGAGGATCAAGAATCCCATTATCCTGTCCTATGTGTGGTCAAAAAATTCTTAATATTTTTGCATTCCATAACTTAAACACTAGACATTATTTTTCTATTGAACCCTGTTATTTAGCCTTTGCATAGTTAAGGGATCTAAAAATTGCAGTCATCATATGCCCAAAGTTTTAATGTGACTAGATCAAGCTGGCATATTAAAAATTTTAAGGAAGTTATTCAAAACATGCATCCTTTTAGGAAACTTTAAAATTTACCAAAAAAAAAGAGTTAAAGTGGAATTTATTTTCTTCAAATTCCTTTATAATATCTTTAAAAAACCCCCAAAAACTGATGACTCCCAAATCCCACTACTCTTTATAGAGAAAAAAAAAAATACTATTTTTAAAGATTTATGCTACTTTTAGTTTCATAATATCTCTGGAGACTATAAATTGGTGCTTTCTACGGAACAATATATCAAGCTTGTTCTTTAAAGTTTAAATAGCTGCTAAAACTAATATTTTAAAAAAGAATAGAATAGCTATATCATTTAATTGTCTATTATTCTGTCATTTAATCAATTTATGCTTTATTTTTATGATTCTCATCAAAACAATAGCAATGTTCAAGAATTTTTAGTCAACTTCAGCTTGAGCAATAGTGTTTAAACATGCCTATTATGCAAATTATTTCTCAACATTCTTAGAAAACATATCTGTGTTGTTATTGTTTTATCATTTCTATCAGTTTAGATAGCAGAGGTGTTAGTGAAACTCAACACATCTTTAAAATTTTTCTGAGATCTAATAGCTGTTCATAACAGAAATTTCTCTTTAGGAAAAAAATTTCACTGATGTTTGAAGCCTAAATTCATTCCATAGACAATAATCAGGAGTGTAGTATATGTCTGGCAGTCTACCAAACAATGAGAATGTGGATATGAGAAACATAGAGTCCTCTAGAGAGAGAGGGAGGGATTCCAATAATTCAGGGAACTCTCCTCAATGAGAAAGTATGTTTAAGTTAAATTTGTAATGTTAGTTTTTCCAGGCAGAAGAAGCAGAGTGAAGAGAGGACATTCCAAATAAAATGAATGGTATGTACGAACGTAGTATGTATGGAGTGATGGGGTACAAGTATAGTAATTCAGTGTGGCTGACATGTGCTTAATAGGGAGAACAATGAGGGAAGGGGCTCAAAGGGAAGATACCTGTCAATCATGAGGGACTCTACCTGCCATGGGATTTGTTATTTGTCTCTTGGTTATGGAAAGCCGTTGAAGGATTTTTTTTTTTTTAAGCAAAAGATGGCTGGACTGAATTTATATTTTAAAAATTGTTTTGGCAATCATGATCATCCTCAAGTTATCAGTTGAATGCTTGTTATATGTATTATCATAGTTAATCTTCAAAAACACACTGTGAATGAAATACTACTATTATTCACATTTTACAAATAAAGGAGTTAAGGAATGTGTCCAACATCATTCATCTATTAAGTGATGGCGTGTTGGGATTTTAAACCAGGCCGTTTAAATGAAGCCCCCTCTCTTAACTTCTACATGTCACTGCCTGAGTACATTCTACTGTAGTGCAGAGGATAGGGGATGGGCAAAGGGACTATTGAAATAGAGTAGGTAGAACAGTGGTTGATGAGAAACAAATAAACTTAAGAATTATTTAAGAGTATAGTGTCCAAATACCTTGTTTTGAATTGGATCCATCAGCATTTGAACTGTCTGAAAAATATACTGAGAAATATTTTATATTTTTAATTAAAAAGTATGATTACTACATTATGATACAATTTGTGTGCAAGTCTCCTCGCCCATTCTCTGGGGCTACATTGTGAGTAATTCAGCTTATTTGCTGTCTGGTTAGCCGAAGGCTTATTATACAATCAAGGCAGATCACAACGGCCAGCTGCGTGGATAAAATTTCTATGAGCTTGTCCAACAGGAGATAATATACAGACACACTATATTGCTCAAATTTTCTTTTCATAAATATAATATTCATGCTTTTTGTTCAGCTTTTATCTTTGTCATATCTTTATGTGTTTTTTTCAGGAAAGAAATATTTGGTGGGTTTAATAGGCTGATTATTTTAAATCAAAACCTTTGTTCAACACTGTCTTGTGATAATTAAAAGAAAAATACCGGTTTGTTGTAAAGAAAGCTACATTTGTATGGTAGAAGGACTTTTTTTCTGGTTTTTATAGTCAATAAACATACCGGTACATTTACATCTAAAATACTAAATACATACCCAAGAGTGTTCAAATATTTCATGATATGGTTTCTTTCTGATAATTCACTATAGTATGCCCTAAATAATTGTATCTGGATTATCAATAGAGTCCCATCTAACTCAGTAAAAAAGGCAATGCTCTAACCATGTTCTGTCGGGTCTTTCATGACTGATCCAGCTGTTTCAATCCCCCTGTCCCCTGTTATCTACCCAACGTCATTTTCCATCCCCCTCCCCCATCACTTACTCTTCCTGGCCATATTGACTGCTTTCCTTTTCCTCAAACATGCCAAGCACTCAAGGTCTTTGCAATTGCTGCCCTCATGATTGGGACACTTTTCCTTCAGTTATCCAGATGGCTGGCTGCCTCATTTTCTTCGAGCCTTTGCTTAAAATATCGCTCGATCAGAAAGGCCTCCTAAACCACCCTACGTATACCACTTCTTCCACAAAACTCTTTCTCTCTTACCCTGTTTCATTTTCCTTCATTGCAATATCCCCAACAGATATAGTATACATGTATTTGTATATTTGTTTGTCTCATAGCACTAAGATGTAATCTCCATTAAGTCAATACCTAGGATATAATATTCACTGACTTTGAATGGAAAAATATGTTAATAAATGAACAACAGGCAATTTTTTCCACCTAAATGCACTGCTCCTCCAAATTTGTTTAAAGTGGTTTAAAGTATTTTTCAATTGCTTTATCTTGGCAACATGGAAAGAATATTTAGCATTATGAATACTCTATGAAGGGATCATTGCAAATATTTAAGCTTAGGTCAGTGAGGCATAGATTTAATTTTGTTTCATTTTTAATATACCATTCACTTCTTTGAAAGCAAAATGTCTTTTTAAAGAACAAAAACTATATTAAATACACACTATCTAAATAAAACATAAGGATATTATAGGTTGTCGTCAAAAACATTTTTCATATTGTCAGTACATATTTTGCACACTATTGTTTATTAAATATTGAGAATTTTTTTTGGTAAAAGCTAATTAAAGAATCCAAAGAACCAAATTACCAAATTGATGAAGTCAGGGTGAGAGGAGTTAATTAAGGTTTTATCTATTGGTGTGTAAACAGGTGGTCATTGCATTAACCCAGACAGAAACCCAGATTGAAAAATTCAAGAAATAATTAGGGGAAAGGAGAGTAGAGATGGAAAAATACGTTGGTTTTGATATCCTGTTTTACATCCAATTTTAGTTGTCCAATAAGTAGTAATCGGAATTGTAGCTCTGAATCTTAGAAGTATGTTCTGGAAGTAAATATTTTATAACTTTTAGAATGTATACAGTCATTGAAATTATGTGGATAAGGAAGATTACTTAGGGAGGGTGTATATGTCAAGGTGAGAAGGTGGAAAATATTATTTCATAAATGCTTAGCTCACCAATTATTTTTACACCCATTACAGTTATTTATTATTCTTTACTGTCTCTGCATTTATATTCCTCCATTTTTACTGTGTTTTTAATTAATTTCTTTTTTCTCAATAGGTGATGCTAGATGTATTTATTTTATCACTTTATTGAAACAAGCGACTTTTAGTTTTCATTAACATTTTAATTGCTTTTTTGTTTTCTATTTTTTTGATTTTTACTCTTTATAATTTCCTTCCTTCTAGTTTTTTGAGGTTTACTTCGTTCTTCTTTTTCTAGTTTCTTGAGTTACATGCTATGGAAAGAGAAAATTTAAAGTGTCATTTTTTTAATGTAGTTATTATATACTCTATGTTCTGTGATTCAGTTTTTGATTTTTAAAAATTCTGTTTGGCTATTAGGTCATGGTTGAAGCCAAATACTAAGCCTCTAATTAGCACTTGTCAGTGAAAATCTTTGGTAGAATAAAAGATTGTTGAATATAGTGCAGTGTGTGTCAGTTAGCTATTGCTATCACAGTGCTGTATAACCAGCTACTCACAAATGCCAGGGACTTAAGACAGCCATAATTAATCTCGTAGATTTGTGGGCTCACTGATGGGCTCAGCTGTATGGCTCTGTTGATCTCAAGGGGGTTTGGTCTTTTGTCTAGGGTTCAGCTGGAGGTGAGTTGATGTAGGTTTTATGTGGCTAGGATGGCTGAATTCTTTTGCCCAAACAAGCATATTTTTCTTGTGGCAATGGCAAAGGCGAATGAGAGCTAGCTCAATAATGCAAGCACTTTTCATGTTGTTGGTCATGTGACACCCAATAACACTCCATCGCAAGTCAAGTCACAAGACAGAAACCAAAGTCTAGGGGGTGGGAATACATAATCCTCTTTAGTCAGATTGCAAACATCCCTTGTCACAGAGAATGGGTACAGGCGTAGATGGAGAACAAGAGCTTTTACTGAAATTAATTGAAAACACAATACAACTATAGATAGCTTGAGTCAGTATTATTTTTAAAAGCTTGATGGCACCAGGAGAAGAAAGCTAACCAATGCTCAGATGAAGTACATTTTGTGTCAAATTTTAAAATGCTTTGAATGTTATATTTTAAAATATGCTTGTCATCATAAGCATCCTTTGCTCCTTCCTTTTTCAGAAGCCCCCTGAAACACACACACACACACAAAGTTGAACCTTACTTCTTGTGAAATTAACTGTTCATTTCAAAGCCGTACTTATGAATTGGTGGCGAAGCAAACACCATGAAATCAGTCTCTATACTTGGATGTAGACAAATGGTATTCCACTGTTAGAAATATCTTAGATTCTGTCTCCAACATTAATATTGATCATTCGATTTTTGTTTCTTGTTATTTATGTGGCGTGTTGTTTTCCTTCTCTTCTTTTTAAACTTTTTGAGTCATTTCATTTTAGAAATGTATTTACTTTTTAACAGTCTCATCCAATAATCTGCCTTTTAATCAGAAAATTTAATCCACCAAGTTTTATTGTGCTTACTCATTTGTTTGGAATTCTACCTACTAATGTTTCTGTTTTCTCTTTGTTTCTGATTTGCTTAATTTTGATGGTTTATTTGATTTTTCCTTTCTTTCTTGCTTTCTATTGAATTGGTAATATTTTTCTCCTTTATTCCCTCTACTAGTTTGGAAACCATACATTGTATTTATATTTTATTATCACATACATATTTGACTCTAACTTTCTATAACTCAGAAGTTATTCTATATCTCCAGCTGATTTATTTATTTATTTATTTATTTATTTATTTATTTATTTTGACAGAGTCTGACTCTGTCACCCAGGCTGGAGTCCAGTGGGGTAATCTCAGCCCACTGCAACCTCCACCTCCCGGGTTCAAGTGATTCTCCAGCCTCAGCCTCCCGAGTAGCTGGGACTACAGGTGCACGCCACCAAGTCTGGCTAATTTTTATATTTTTAGTAGAGACAGGGTTTCACCATGTTGGCCAGGCTGGTCTCAAACTCCTGACCTCAGGTGATCTGCCGGCCTCGGTGTCCCAAAATGCTGGGATTACAGACATGAGCCACTGCACCCAGCCTCCTGCTGATTCTTAAACAAGACAAGGTACTACATTAAACCTTCCTCCTATTCTGCACCCTTATCTCCATGCGTCTCTGAATATGATGTCTGTGTCTCTTCACACGATTTTTCTCTTTACCCTTAATAACCTTTATTTTTTGACGTGGTTTATTTAAACACAGGCTTATTTTTATTTAACCCTCTTGGTACTTGATGTTCATGGTCTAAGTTTATCTTTCTTCAAATCTAAAAGTTCTTATCTATTCACTTTCTAAATATCATTTTTCTGCCATTCTTTCTATTTTCTTTCTTTCTTTTTGTTTTTTGGAGTGCCAATTAGCATGTGTTGAGTCTTCTCAAACTCTTTTCCATCTCCATTAACCAGTTTTTAATATTTTTAGTCTCTTTATCCTTCTGCAATATTCTGGCAGAATGCCTCAGGATTTTCCTATGTTCACTAGCTGTCTCAATTACTAAAACCAATTGAGAGGTTTTCTGTTTTAGTTTTTTATTTCATTTACTGTATTATTTGTTAGATTTTTACTTCACTATTTTTTTCTTTTCTTTTTTGCTATTTTATATTTTCTTTTTTTCCCCCCAGTGGTCTTGTACTTTTTATATCTCTTTGAAGATCCTTAACATATATGCTTCAAATTGATTTTCATATTTCTCTATCATATTTTCATATTTTATCTAGACTGAATTTATCTCATGGCTGCTGTTCCTAAATTGGTATTCTTCATGAATTTTGGAATATCAGTTTCCAGATCCATCTTGACTGAAAGCCTGTCATGGTCTGTAGTGTGGCTAGGGGGCCTCTATCTCACATCAATATTGTAAATAGTGCAATCCAGATGCCAAGCTATTGGGTGGTGTAGTCTTCGCCTCATTTCTTGGCATTATCTACTTCCTCTTGTCCCCCTAGTGATGCAATTGTATAATAGTTCTAACCATTGATTCACATACGTGGTGAGCACCACTGTTCTGAGCTTCCATCATGGCAGGGAGAGCCCCACTGAAGCACCTCATTTCAGGTTGTGAATTCTTACTTAGTCCTATCTCCAGTGGGGCACTTTCAGTTTTTATCATGCACTGGAAACCAAACTGCCAGTAGGCTCTACTTGCTTCCATTTCTGGAACCAGCTAGCCCCATCTACTTTGTGTTTCGTTTCTATTTCTGATCAAGAACATGGATATTTTGTCTTTGAGAGTGGTTTTATCTTTCTGATTTCCTGTATTTTGCTTCAATTAAAATTCTGATGGGAAATGGGTGTGAATTTATAACACAGGAACTGGATACTGTTCATTTATTGATAAAGTGGAAATGGCAGATATATTTCATTAAGCTAGTTTAGTATTCTGGATATCACAGTTGCTAGTAGTGATGCTCATGCTACTCTTACTTAGGCAAGTGGTTCAGTGGCCCTTGGATGGGGAATGAAATAAGAATTTGGTGCAATTTTCTCTGTATAATGAAAGTAAGACAGCTAAGTTACTTTTTGAAATACAAACTTTGTTACATATACCTTGTCGATTCCAAATATTTGTTTGCTGAATTTAATGACATTTTATTTAATTTTATTTTTTGGAAACCTGGGCTTGATACCTCATTGTCTGCCAAAGATCAGATGTCCTCAATGTAACATTCAGCGAGCAGAACCAAAATATACTTTGAATATACTTTGAAACCTTGTTATAAAAGATTAATGAACTTTCATTCAATGGGTACTTTTTTTCTTCCTTCAAATTTTCACATGACTGATAACTTATCAATGTGTATTGTATGTTACAAATGAACTTGTCAGAAAAGGAATTATAGATGTCCAGGAACCAGAGATAACCTTGAGACTCATTTCCTATGCCCCACCCTGGATAATGTACAGAATGTTCTTTTCTTAGGGAAAAATGTTCATTATTGTCAGAAAATGATTATTATAATACATTAGTCTCAGAGTTATTGGGGTTTTATATATTGTAAGGTTTATTGTGCTTTTATAGTATACAAAGATATACAGGAATATATGGGATACAACCGCAATAAGTACAACATGAGAAGTTGCCATTTTGCTCTTGATGTTATGAGAATATCATGTTTGACGACATGCTTGTAATGGAAATGGAAGGGTCATGATTCAGATAATCTTCAAAGGGGCTTGAATGGTAAAATATTTGATAAATTCTTATTGCACTTGGCAAAAACAAACATCTTCCACCCAGAACAATTTCATATATACTATTTAAAAATATCTCCTGTTTTTCTGAAGTTGACAGTTAACATTTTATGTAGCATGTGAACCAACTTTTCTTCAAACAAGAATTCAAGTTGTTAAACAGCTGTCGTTGTAAGAAATTTTTACCAACAAAATCATTGGTAGAAGTAATTCATGGGGATAAAGTAAGGAAGAAAAAATTTACCAAAACTGAGACTAAGTTAGATTAGAAGACTTTCATCTTATTCAATGAGTCCAATCTTGAGATGCTTATAAAAAGAAAAAAAAAAATGAGGACAGTCTCAAAACATCCGTAGCACTGGACGTGTAATGTTAAAGAGAGAATTGTGAGACCAAGGCATAAAAGAAGAAGAAGAAGGAAGCCTGGGATTTCAGATCTCCTAAACACCATGGCTGCTCCACAATTTCTGAAGAAATTGTGAGTCCTTTCCACATAGCTTAGTTTTGTCAACTCTCAAAGCTACTTTTGTATAATGCTTTTCATATGATATAGGAAAACATCAATCATATATCTCAAAAATTCTGGGGAGAGAAGAAGTTGGAGATTATAGCCAGACCAATTCCTTACTCTTTTCCCCTGTCTGATGCCACCAGGTGCTCCTAGATCCAAATGTCCCCAAAACAGCCTATGTACTTTGTGTCCTATAAGCTGCCCTTCCATTTTACATACTGATTAATACAAAAATGCAAAAATCCTGCATTGACAAGTTCAGTGCTTCAGGACCATTCTATGAAATAAAATAAGAGACAAATTTACAACTTAGGGCATTGGAAATAGGTTCTTGAGAAGGTTAAAATAGACCATGTCAAGTCACAGGCTATGTGGGTCACCACCAGTAAAAACCAAGCAGAGGTGAGGATGTCCTAGTCTTAAGTGGCTGTAATTGATGATATTTGCCTTGAAATCAATAGGTCCATTTTATGTATATTCACCTGTACCAACCGCAACCAAAAATGTGGAAGGAAAAATAACTAATAGACTTTTCTTGAAGGGTGTGGTGAGAAGGAATTACAGTGTTTAAATTGAAATGAGATGAAAATCAGTGTTCTCCTACCTGAATGGGAAAGGTTTTCAAATAAATTTGGTGACTCAAAAAATAAACATTTTTGTTAGACATAGGTTAACTCTTAGATAACAAATAAAATCACTTTCTAATAGTACAGATTTTTAAAAACTGTCAGTATTCATGAATATTTGCATGAAATTTTTGTTTGTCCTACTTGAATGACTACTTGGAAGGCACCTACAGAAGCGTCCACCAAAAGCTCACAGATGCTGCCATTCACAAGTAGCTTTGAAAATAAACATGAAATAACAATTACAGTTTGGGCTCTGTTAATTAGAAAGTTGGTGGGCTTATTTTAATAGGCCAAGGATGCTGAATATGTCAAAGCACAGTATTAAAAACTTTTAAATATCTTTTACTATATATAACTTACTATGCTTAATTAACTACCTCTTTCTCCTTTTGGGGGGCCTCTTATGCCCAAGATACTGTACACAAAGGAGTACAATGTCATGATCAAAAACCTAGCCTCCATAGACAAACCACTCTGCTTGTGTGACCTTCAGCAAGGTACTTAACCTCTCTGAACCTCAGTTTCTTCATCTGTAAAATGAGGATAACAGTACCTATTTAAAGAGTTGTTGTTAATATTCAAAGTTTTAATGTACTTAAAAATAGACTTAAAATTAGCTGTAAGAGGACTGGCAGATATAAGCTTTAAATAAATAAGTGCTACAAAGCATACAGTAATTGCATTTTTCTCTTCATATATGGTTTTTTAGTTTTTAATGAATGTTTTCATATATACTATTAATTATAAAATTCCTGTGAAATATTCATTGTTACCCTATTTTTCGCATATGGGAACTGAGCAAAAGGGGTTGTTCAAGGCCACTCCACCAATAAGAGCCAAATTTGGAAGGAGAGTGCAGGTCTCACAGCTGCTGCTCCAGGATGCAACCCGTTGTGTTGCACTGTCCCTTGATAATTGGATTTTAATCAGGTCTGTGGATAAGTCTCACACACACACACATACACACACACATGCAAAACAGAACTTTGGATAAGATACAAGAAAAATGATCTCACCAAGAATGTACTTTAGTGAGAGGAAGCAGTTACTTCAACATAGACAAAGGCGAACAGCAGACAAGGAGGAAGCAATTAAATAGAAGGAGTCCACTAGTTTGTTTCATTTTATTTATCATTATATTGAGCATAGTGTCATTCAGAGGCTACCAGAAAGACCCCCACCTTTGAGCCTATGCTAAGGGGATCCTGGAAGCCTTCGCCAGGGTGGCTGAGCCACTGCTGTGAGGTGAGCAGAGCCTCAGACCCTGACACCCTCAGGGAGAAAGTAAGGGAGTGACTGTCAATAATTAAACCATCTGTAACCCTTTATATTGTTTTGGTTCTCAGAAACAAATCAAGGACACCACACATAGAATGTAAATTGGCCTTTGTAGTCTTGCCCCCTGGTATAATTAGCAGATGCTCTTTCTTAATGCAGGCCAGTTCAGGGGAAATCTATTTGCATAATGAAACACACTATTTCCATGTACACTGAAACTCAACTTCTTCAAGTTTCTACGTTCTTCTTGTTGGGACTACTTGGAAAAGAAGTATTTTATTATTGTGCATCCCCAGAATAGAATCTCTAGACCTGGGAATCCCCAAAATATAGTAGGGATAAAGAACCATTTTTAAAAATATCAGCAAATGAAAGAGAAATGTATTAAGTGTTGTAAGCGATCCTAAAGGATAGCTAAGAATCTTAAAGGATTCTTTGCTTTGATATGCAATCATGGAACACTGATAGCATGAGTGAAAAAATGTAACTTTAATAAATATGGTGTCTTTGGAAGAACAAATGTTTCAAAATGAGGCATATAGAGGAGAGGGGAAGAGAGAGAGAAAGAGAGAAGAAATATTAAAAATATTTTCTTAGTAGATAAAGGGAGGTCAGAGAAGTGATTTTCAGGTAGAAGAGATAAAAAGAGATGAGGGCTTAGGGAACCATAAAGGAGGAAATGGTATAAGAATGAGGGCGTTGTCGCAAAGACTTGTCAAGGTCTGGAAAATGTTTCAGTGTAACTATAGAAGAGAGAGATGTTAAATTTTGCTTGACTACCTAAATCTTCTCTTGCTTCATCTGCCAAAGTACGCTTCACTGGAAAAGAAGGGAGACCTTTCTAGCAGGTCTTCTACAGGATTTCTTTGCAATAAAAATATACAGAAGTAGCACACATGTCCACCTGTAAGCTGGCAAATTGCCAATTAGTAGAAAGTCTATAAGTAAATTTAGCTAAATATAAAAGAGTACAACTTAAAGTACAATACATTCAAGTTAAGAATATAAAACTAATATATTGTTTAATAGTAGCTATGATGAGATTATCATAGCCCAGGTGGTACTATTGAAATATTGAGAGTAAGATGTGTGTCCATGTTTAATGTTGTATACAGTAGGATTTTTATTAAAAACAAAAAAACTAAAAAACCTGTAGGCAACTTAAATTTTAAAACATAGATAAAATAGATACATATATTTTTTATTATTATTATCCTTTAAGTTCTAGGGTACATGTGCACAACGTGCAGGTTTGTCATGTATGTATACATGAGCCATGTTGGTGTGCTGCACCCATTAACTCATCATTTACATTAGGTATATCTCCTAATGCTATCCCTCCCCCCTCCCCCAACCCCAGGACAGGCCCTGGTGTGTGATGTTCCCCACCCTGTGTCCAGGTGTTCTCATTGTTCAATTCCCACCTATAAGTGAGAACATGCAGTGTTTGGTTTTCTGTCCTTGTGATAGTTGGCTCAGAATGATGGTTTCTAGCTTCATCCATGTCCCTACAAAGGACATGAACTCATCCTTTTTAATGGCTGCATAATATTCCACAGTGTATATGTGCCACATTTTCTTAATCCAATCTATCATTGATGGACATTTGGGTTGGTTCCAAGTCTTTGCTATTGTGGATAGTGCTGCAATAAACATATGTTTGTATGTGTCTTTATAGCAGCATGATTTATAATCGTTTGGGTATATACCCAGTAACGGGATGGCTGGGTCAAATGGCATTTCTAGTTCTAGATCCTTGAGGAATTGCCACACTGTCTTCCACAATGGTTGAACTAGTTTACAGTCCCACCAACAGTGTAAAAGTGTTCCTATTTCTCCATATCCTCTCCAGCACCAGTTGTTTCCTGACTTTTTATTGATCGCCATTCTAACTGGTGTGAGATGATATCTCATTGTGGTTTTGATTTGCATTTCTCTGATGGCCAGTGATGATGAGCAATTTTTCATGTGTCTATTGGCTGCATAAATGTCTTATTTTGAGAAGTGTCTGTTCATATCCTTCACCCACTTTTTAATGGGTTTGTTTGATTTTTTCTTGTAAATTTGTTTAAGTTCTTTGTAGATTCTGGATATTAGCCCTTTGTCAGATGGGTAGATTGTAAAAATTTTCACCCATTCTGTACTTTGCCTATTCACTCTGATGGTAGTTTCTTTTGCTGTGCAGAAGCTCTTTAGTTTAATTAGATCCCATTTGTCAATTTTGGCTTTTGTTGCCATTGCTTTTGGTGTTTTAGTCATGAAGTCCTTACCCATGCCTATGGCCTGAATGGTATTGCCTAGGTTTTCTTCTAGGGTTTTTATGGTTTTAGGTTTAACATTTAAGTCTTGAATCCATCTTGAATTAATTTTTGTGTAAGGTGTAAGGAAGAGATCCAGTTTCAGCTTTCTACATATGGTTAGCCAGTTTTCCCAGCACCATTTATTAAACAAGGAATCCTTTCCCCATTTCTTGTTTTTGTCAGGTTTGTCAAAGATCAGATGGTTGTAGATGTGTGGTATCATTTCTGAGGGCTCTATTCTGTTCCATTGGTCTACATGTCTGTTTTGGTACCAGTACCACGTTGTTTTGGTTACTGTAGACTTGTAGTGTAGTTTGAAGTCAGGTAGCGTGATGCTTCCAGCTTTGTTCTTTTGGCTTAGGATTTTCTTGGCAATGCGGGCTCTTTTTTGGTTCCATTTGAACTTTAAAGTAGTTTTTTCCAATTCTGTGAAGAAAGTCATTGGTAAGTTGATGGGGATGGTGTTGAATCTATAAATTACCTTGGGCACTATGGCCATTTTCACAATATTGATTCTTCCTATCCATGAACATGGAATGTTCTTCCATTTGTTTGTGTCCTCTTTTCTTTCGTTGAGCAGTGGTTTGTAGTTCTCCTTGAAGAGGTCCTCACATCCCTTGTAAGTTGGATTCCTAGGTATTTTATTCTCTTTGAAGCAATTGTGAATGGGAGTTCACTCATGATTTGGCTCTCTGTTTGTCTGTTATTGGTGTATAGGAATGCTTGTGATTTTTGCACATTGATTTTGTATCCTGAGACTTTGCTGAAGTTTCTTATCAGCTTAAGAAGATTTTGGGCTGAGATGATGGGGTTTTCTAAATATACAATTATGTCATCTGCAAACAGGGACAATTTGACTTTCTCTTTTCCTAATTGAATACCCTTTATTTCTTTCTCTTTCCTGATTGCCCTGGCCAGAACTTCCAACACTATGTTGAATAGGAGTGGTGAGAGAGGGCATCCCTGTCTTATGCCAGTTTTCAAGAAAATTTTGTATAAAAATACTGCTTACTCAAATTGGCCCCAGTAGAGAGAATATCTAAAGACAGCAATTGCCATAGAAGAAAAGGGGAAGCAGCTAACAAGCTCCATCACAATAAAAGCTTTAGACTTTGATGGCTTCACAAACTTCTTACTTCATTCTCTAAAGTGCACGTTAAACATCATATAATCTCAATGCACCTTAAGTCTTTCCAGTCCAGGGGAAAAGAGGTTAAACTTTTATTTTTATAAAATCAGCAAAATATTTTCTTCTATAACCTGACAGATTCAATGAAAAAAGAAAACTGCAGACCGATCCCATTTATAAATATCTGCATTAAAATCTTAGATCAATTACTAGCAAATAGATTTATTTAAAAACTCTATACATTATGACCAAGTAAGCTTTATTCTAGGAATTGAAGAGTCGTTAAATATCAGGAAGTCCCATTAATGAAATCTAACACATTAGAGTTAAGATAAAACACCTCATGCTTATATCTGCTTATATAGACACAGAAAAGGCATTTGACAAAATTCAAAATCTATCATGTTTTAAAAAAGTAAAAGGATCGAATAAGGTTGGAATTGATGGATTAAGTCCTTAATTCAGCAGTATATGTTATATAACTTCTATTCTAATAACCATCACTTTATTTCACAGGGGAATATTTCTTGCAAAATTTATAACAAGACCAGATATGTGTTTACTTATATCATAGATAAAAAGTCAATGTCTTTTTATATAAATAGCTTCTAAAATACAGAAGAGGCCAGTAATCCTATAGAAAATGACCTGATTCTAAGCTAGTTTGTCATTAAAATAATAATAGATTAAAATAAAATGATTTTCTGTAATTCTAAAATGAGCTATAGAATATGAGCAGAGTGAATTGATAAGTTTAAATATTTGTGAATAATGTGAAAAAAATGCTTAGTCTCACTCACAATAAGCAAAATACAGATTAAGAACATGATTATTCCAGTCTAGCCAACATGGTGAAACCCTGTCTCTACTAAAAATTAGCCGGGCCTGCGGGCATGTGCCTGTAAGCCCAGCTACTCGGGAGGCTGAGGCAGGGGAATTGCTGGAACCAGGGAGGTGGAGGAGGTTGCAGTGAGCCGAGATTGCGCCACTGCACTCAAAATTATGATCCAATTTCTGATTTATCAATTTGAAAGATTTCCCTAAATTTGACAAGTACTCTGTTTGAGAGATTATGAGTGAACATGCAATTATATTTATAACTGAAGAGAGCGCAAAAATATAAAACCCAATGGAAGGAAATTTAGCAATATCTAGAATAATTGCATATAAATTTATTCTCTGACCAAGTAATACCAATTCTAGGAATCAATAAAAAATAAAAGGCTTATGCTCAAAGCTGTTTGATACAACACTATTTCAAAAGCAAAAAGCTAAAGAGAAAAAATTCTATATGTAGGGGACTGCTGGAATAAAATATAGTGGACCCAAGCAATGAAATACCATGCGGCTATAAAAAGGAATGAGGGGCCAGGTGCCATGGCTCATGTCACTAATCTGAGCATTTTAGAAGGCTGATGTGGGAGGATCACTTGAGGATAGGAGTTCAAGACCAGCCTGGGCAACAAAGTGAGGCTCTATGTCTACAATAAAAAAAGTATTAAAATGAAAAAAATGGGCATGGTTGCATGCACCTCTAGATCTAGCTACTTGGGTGGCTGAGGTGGGAGGATTGCTGGAACCCAGGAGTTCAAGGTTACAGTGAGCTATGATCATGCCACTGCACTCCAACCTGGGAGACAGGACGAGACTCCATTGTTAACTGAAAAAAATTAAAAAGTAAAATAAAGGAATGAGGAATATCTCTATATACTGCCATGAAGTTTCCCAATAATATATTAAGTATCTGTCACACACAGACAGGTTTAGAGATTTGCCAGTTTGGTTTGGAGCAGGAAGGTAGACAGAAAGGAAGATCCACAGAATAAAAGAGCACTTGATATGGTAGATGGACGATTTAGAACTAACAGTATTTGATTAATATATATGGCAAGAGCAAGAAAAAGTCTGAAGCACAAAAGCAAATAGAATCATAGTAACTTTCTGACTGTTTAATCAATTATTGTATTTACATAGACTTATTAATGTAAGGCTTAACTGTTTAATGAGATATGATGATATATCTAAAATGGGAAGGCAGGATATAGTGCAAGGAGGGTAAGTCCTTTTCTCATCTAAAGGTAAGTCAATACATGATGTCTGAAACTAACCAATCAAGAAATAGCTACATAAGCAAGTACTATGGAAATGTAGAGGCAACTACGAAAACAGAAACCTTTGCTTCTATTGATTTGGGTTGAGTTACATATGCTTTTCAGCACCATGTAAATTTTTCCAAAAAATCAAGTGAAAGTATTACATGGATTAAAAAGATAGAAAAACAGTACTTTTTTTTAAAAGATGTTCAGAAACATTTTCCTAAGTTCATTTAAAATGAAGTGCACTAGGCTACAGTGGTATCTGACTGGGCAGAAAATAGAGAAAGAGACAGACTCCAAAAAGACCTGAAGTGACGTCAGTTGAGCCTGGAGACCATCACCAGAGCTAGTCCTAAGGGTGAGTCCACAATGAGTGAAAGGGAGAGGGGGAGCTTTCTGTCAGTTTAAACTACAGCAACAGCATGGAGATTCTCCATTAGTCATTTTTTTCTTGCTCTCCAGTTTTTGATGGTTCAGATGTCTCTAGGGTGATACCAATCATTTTATTATATTTCACATAATACCAGCTTAAGAAACAATGTAATGAAAAGTCCATGTGCTATTACTTTCATTGCCCTGTCAATAAGATCCAGGATTGCCTCCCTCATTCTACTTTTTAAAAATTATTTTCTCAACTTTTCTGATGTGATTCACACTTACTTGGAAGCTTTTGCTTTTTGGAATTCTTTTAAGAATTATAACCTCTTAATTGTAACTTATACATTTTACAATTTTTGTTTGAAATGAGGAAGATGCTTTTGTAACTATATTTCAATTTCACAAGTAATTTAGGGTAAAAGACAGCAAGGGATGTTGGTAGTGTTGCATCCAAGTGTCTTCTATTTGTCATGATTGTGTAAACACCTATAATTTCTCACTTCACTTCTCTAGCCCCTCTGGATGGATATTCAGAGAATGAGGATGAACATTCCTCTGAATACAAAGACTTGGGATATTCTTTCCCTTTAACTGAGAGAAAGAAAAGCAAACTGAATAGACATGGAAATAATAATTTGCATCACAGACATCCCTTCAGGTCGGCAGTTTGAGTTCACCTTAAGGCAATGCCACTGACTGGGGCTTTCCTTGAGTGTGTGTGCTATATCTTAGGCACTGCCATGGCCCTGGTTGGGGCTTAGAACATGTCATCCCAAAATATAACACCATGGTCTGCTGAGTACTTTCAATGGAAGGAAATTGGAAGGGCCTCAGAAGCAAGAATTTCTCTCTGACCTTCTCCTATTCTCCTTTCCCCATTTCTCTACCAAAAGTGGGTCATAGAAACTAAAACTATTCTCCTTGAAAGCAGGCCATAAAACCTATAAACTTTACTCTCTGGTCTTCTCCCTTTTCCCTTGAGGGTCCTTATGTGACAGGTGTCATACCCTATACCTGGAAGAAGGAATGCTGCATAGAGAGGCCCGGAAGAATCTGAAAAAACAGGCCTTACTGGGCTCCTTCAGTTTATCACCATTACAACACACCCTTTTTGTCCAATCGTATTTCTATACAGCTGATCCTGCATTGAGTGCAAGCAAAAAACTGTCAAGTTTTCCCTGGATCTTTGGGCTTTCATTTCTGAAGTCTCCTGTGTCACGTAAAACTTTGTTAAATAAATTTGTTATGCTTTTCTCTTGTAACCTGTCTTTTGTTGTAGGAGTGTCAGGCAAGACCCTTGGAATGGGTGGGCAAAAGGTGTTACTATTTCACTTCTACAGCCTCAAGACCTAGCACCATCTCTAGCATATGTTGTATTAATGACGTTAGATGATTGAATGACTGTTATCTCAATAATTGCCACTGATTTGACTATTTAAGCAGGTCATTTTTTCCCCCTAAATATTCCCCCCGTGCTATACTGAAAGTCACAGAACATCATTATTGCAGAAGAATAGCTTTCCTCAGTCAAGGCTAAATAAGTTACAGGAATTGACAGCGAACACCTCCCATTCAAGTTAGAATGAACACTATTTGGTCTTAGACACATAAATGTTCAGACAAGAGGTTTCCATTTAGAAGAAGCCAACCAATGATGAGTTCAGAAAACATTCTTGTTAACACACTCAAAAATTGCAATAAAAAATGGAGCATCACCTGAAAATGGTAAACTTTTTAAACAAATAGAACGATATGAGGATAAAGGGATGTTTCTAATTAGATTCCCTTTTCTAAAATCTTTCACTTTCCTTACTAGTCTGATGCTCACAGACATAAGGTCAGTGTGATATTTTTGATAACATACGTAGGTCTGCAGAGTTCATAGCACTGCAGACTTGGGAAGATTTTACATGTCCAGTGCATGGCCCAGAGGCAGCAGTATTTATTTTAGCCAGTAACAAACATGATAAATGATGTGCCACCCTCCGTCACTGCTGGTCACTGGAAGTGCTGGCTGACCATCAGCCCAGAGCTCAATTCCCACAGGTTCCCTGCCAAACTATTTGAATAAACCTAGGCAAGTTTACAATTTCTGCTTTGGCTGAAAAACTTCTTTCACTTGGCAGTCTAAATACATTTCAGAGCGTTTGAGGATGAACTGTTGGTTTCTATGCTTAAATAGTAATTTCAGGTATTTTTAAAACATCTTCCTTGAAATATAATTCACATACCATACAATTTTTCCATTGCTTTTAATATATTTACAGACTTGTGTAATCATCACCACAACCAATTTTCTAATATTTGCATTACTCCAAAAAAATCCTCTGTACCCCCAAATCATCCCACCTTGCCTACTCCTAAGCAAGGACTAATGATTCCCCTTCCCTGTTAGGTGGGCTGTTTTCATTATCATTTGCTTGTTTATTGATTGGTGACATGGCCAGTCTATTTTAATGAAGTCTATTTCCCTGCAGTGTCTCTCCTAAGTAAGGCACAGCTTTGGACATTCATAGTTACTTGGGACAACAGTTTTAGCAGGGCTCTCTTTCTCCTTTCCTGATCTCTCTGTTAAGCTGCCTGGCTCATTTGATATCACATCCAAATTATCAGCTGATTGCTCTATTGTTTTGGACAATGCCCTGAAGCATACCAAAATGTGTCTGGAATTGGTGGGTTCTTGGTCTTACTGACTTTAAGAATGAAGTTGCGGACTTTTGCGGTGAGTATTACAGCTTTTAAGGTGGCGCGTCTGGAGTTTGTTCTTTCTGATGTTTGGATGTGTTTGGAATTTCTTCTTTCTGGTGGGTTTGTGGTCTTGCTGGCTTAGGAGTGAAGCTGCAGACTTTCGTGGTGAGTGTTACAGCTTTTAAGGCAGCGTATCTGGAGTTGTTCATAAATTGCTCTGTAGCATTATCTGATTAAACCCATGTAGTATTAGTTTTATTTCTTGTTTTGTTTTCTTTTGGTTTTTGTTTTGGTTTTTTGAGATAGAGTCCTGCTCTGTCACCCAGGCTGGAGTGTGGTGGCGTGATCTTGGCTCACTGCAACCTTTGCCTCCTGGGTTCAAGCGATTCCCTTGCCTCAGCCTCCTGAGTAGCTGGAATTACAAGTGTCCATCACCAGCTAGGCTAATTTTTGTATTCTTAGTAGAGATGGGGTTTCACCATGTTGGCCAGGCTGGTCTCTAATTCTTGACCTCAGGTGATCCACCTGCCCTGGCCTCCCAAAGTGCTGGGATTACAGGTATGAGCCACCATACCCAGCTGCAGTAGTAGTTTTTAAAGACAGTTTTTGAGGTTTATGGAGATCCCAGGAGGGCACTTCTTATGTACTTCTTTCTCTTTTTCTGTCTGGTGAACTAGCTGGCCTATGGTTAAACTTTTTGCTGTCACTTAAGAAGAGCTATTTGTTTTCGCTGGATATGAAATTCTGGGTTGAAAATTCTTTTCTTTAAGAATGTTGAATATTGGCTCCCACTCTCTTCTAGCTTGTAGAGTTTCTGCCGAGAGATCCACTGTTAGTACCCTTATACTTGAACTTCACCATATTCTGTTTAAAATAAAATCAATTCCTTTGGGGGGCATTCAGATGTCCCTTTTCCTATGGATTCCCCTTTCATTTGGTTAAGATGTCTCAACCCTACTCCAGGCACTGGCTAGAGGAGTTAGCCTCTGGTCCTCCAGACTTTTTGTCTTGACTCTCCTGGCGTGGGGTGCTGCCCAAAGATTGAGTTCATGTCAGGAAAATCAGAACCCCAATCTTCTTGCCAGCCATGCACAGAGTAGACACTCCATCCTGACTGAGAGCTGGTGGGAGGAAGATAGCCACCAACCCTTTGGCAACATGCACCTGGAATATATCCTCTTCATGGAGTTGGAGAGGATGAAAAATGTTAGTGGTTTCCCCCTCCCAATAAAATATGGCAACTCTTGATCAGAAATTGTAAAGAGAAGGAACTCATCTTTTTGACAACTTGGATTGAAGTTTCTGTTAGGCTGAGCTTAGGGTAAAGAGGGAGAGTGTAGAAGGTGGCTCAAATGTTACAGACTCTCATTGTTCTGAATTTTAGTAGATTTTCTTAAATAGATGTTTCCTCATTTGCTGTATGCCATTTGGACAATTTCCACAGATTAGAGCAAAACTTCAATGTCTGTTCCAGAAGGAAGTATCATGTTGGATTTTACTGTACAATGAAGAAATGGGTATTGGGGGAACCTGCCCCCAATATTTCAACGTAGGTTTTTTCTATTTTCCATAAGTGTCGGCCAGCTGAGAAATAAAAAGAGAGACAGTATAAAGAGAGGAATTTTACAGCTGGGCTGCTGGGGGTGACATCACATATTGGTAGGACCATGATGCCCACCTGAGTTTTGTATTAAGGGTTTCAAACCAGCAAGTTTTTTCTTAAGGGTTTCAAAAGGGGAGAGGGTGTAATAACAGACAGTAGGTACAAAGATCACATGCTTCAAAGGGCAAAAGGCAGAACAAAGATCACATGCTTCGGAGGGAACAGGACAAAGGGCAAAAGCAGAACTACTGATAAGGGTCCAACAAAGATCACAAGGCAAAGGGCAAAAGCAGAATTACTGATAAGGGTCTATGTTCAGCAGTGCATGTATTGTCTTGATAAACATTTTAAACAACAGAAAACAAGGTGCGAGAGCAGAGAACTGGTCTGACCACAGATTTACCAGGGCGGAGTTTTTATCCACCCTAGTAAGCCTGAGGGTACTGCAGGAGACCAGGGCATATCTCAGTCCTTATCTCAACCACATCAGGCAGACATTCCCAGAGTGGCCATTTATAGACCTCCCCCCAGGAATGCATTCCTTCCCCAGGGTATTAATATTATTATTCCTTGCTAGGAAAAGAATTTAGCAACATCTTCCCTACTTGCATGTCCATTTATAGGCTCTCTGCAAGAAGAAAAGTATGGCTTTTTTTGCCCGACCCTGCAGGCAGTCAGGCCTTATGTTTATCTTCCCTTTTTCCCTAAAAATCACTGTTATTCTGTTCATTTTCAAGGTGCACTGATTTCATATTGTTCAAACACACGTTTTACAAACAATTTGTACAGTTAACATAATTATCACAGTGGTCCTCAGGTGACATACATCCTCAGTTTATGAAGATAACAGGATTAAAAGATTAAAGTAAAGACAGGCATAAGAAATTATAAAAGTATTATTTGGGAACTGATAAATGTCCATGAAATCTTCACAATTTATGTTCCTCTGCCACGGCTCCAGCCATCCCTCCACTTGGGGTCCCTGACTTCCTGCAACATCTTTCCCTTTCTTTTCATATAAATGTGCCATGGCAATGAAGGCTTATTCATTCTCTCGGTTTTGACGCAGGATTCTTTGACTGGTCCAGCACACTAAAAACAAGCTGATTAAACAGAGAAACATAATTCCAAAATTTACTACAGTGGAGCCCCCAACAGACTTAATCCAAGTCGTGGGGTTTGGTCCAGAAAGACTTTCTGCCACCTGATCTAGTGCCTCAGTTCCAGGCACAATGGATAAATGAGCTTGAGAGGCTTCAAAAATTTGTTTCTTTAATTTAGTTATGTCCAAGGATAAATTATGTTCCCTACCCAGCAGGTGTCCTTTGACCATTTCCCATGAATGATCAGTCTTCTTGTAGGAATATGGTGTGATACAGAAATCAGAAGTATTCCAATCGCACTGCATTTGCATGCGATGTTTGAGACTTATTAGCTGATCTCCAAGCCAAATAACAGACTGTCTTAAATCATTAATTTGATTAGCTAATTTTTGATCAATGCCCTGTTGAGAATTCTACATTTGGGTGGAATTAGCTTGCCAATCATTAACAAAATCAGCCCTTTGAATAGGTTGGTGTAATGCCACGCCGGCGGTGGTGGCCAGTGCAGTGACTGTAATTAGGCCCATGATCACAGCGATTAAAGTGAAAACGAATCTCTTAGATCTTTTGAGAATTCGTTGTAACACTTCATTAATTAAATGTACTGAGGGTGAAGATTCCCAAGGTCTGGGTAAAGTTACCAGTATCCAGATTCCTTCTCACTTCTCAAGCTCACACAACATTACACTTTTCCTGAAGTCAAAATGGGAGTTAACACAAGTGTATAAATGACAATTAATGCATTGGACAGTTTGATTGTTCATCCAAATTTTGATATTTCCCACTAACAGCATGTAAGAAGGCTTAACACAACTCTGTATAGGAATAGTCAGGTTGGAGGTAAACAAAGCGGAATGTTTCAATCTACATCGATACTGAGGGAGAGAAGCGGCAGTGGCAACGCCCGATGTTCTCTACTGTAAAGAAGCAATCCGAGGTGCTCAGGAATGCCGAAGAGGTGGAGGCGCATACCTGGGTGAAGAAGAATTATCATAAGGCCAATCAGAGTCCCATAAAGGAGGATCAGCATCTAAAAGAGGAGGAGAGTTCAAAGAGGATTTATCATGGGGTTCAGAATCACGGATGTGAGGGGCAGTAGTGGGGACAACAGACAGAAAATTTCCTCTTCCCATACTTGCAGGCCAACCATGGCAATAGCCAATTTCCAAAGTTCTGGGTGTTCTGGGCTCAGAATGGGGAATATCATATGAGGCCTCATGGTGGGTAATGCCCTTGTGTTCTCATTTTAAGGGAAAGAACTCAATATGCCTAGGCGAAGATCTTTTTGCAATGAATTTCTCGGGTGTTCTTTGTGCTTCTTATATTTGGATGTCTCGGTCTCTATGAGAGACAGGACTAGCTGGATTTCCTAGGCTGACTAAGAATTCCTAAGCCTAGCTGGGGAAGGTGACTGCACCTACCTTTAAACACAGAGCTTGTAACTCAGCTCACACCAGACCAATCAGGTAGTAAAGAGGGCTCACGAAAATACCAATTAGGCTAAAAACAGGAGGTAAAAAATAATCAAATCATCTATCACCTGAGAGCACAGGGTGAGGGATAATGATCAGGATATAAACCTAGGCATTCGAGCAGGGAGTGGCAACCCCCTTTGGGTCCACTCCCATTGTATGGAAGCTCTGTTTTTCACTCTATTAAATCTTGCAACTGCACACTCTTCTGGTGAGCTGAGCTTTCGCTCGCCATGCACCACTGCTGTTTGCCGCCATCGCAGACCCGCTGCTGACTTCCACCCCTCCCTATCCAGCAGGGTGTCGGCTGCGCTCCTGATTCATCAAGGAGCCCATTACTGCTCCCGATTGGGCTAAAGGCTAGCCATTGTTCCTACAGGCTAAGTGCCTTTGTTCATTCTAATCGAGCTGAACACTAGTCACTGGGTTCCACAGTTCTCTTCCGTGACCCACGGCTTCTAATAGAGCTATAACACTCACCGCATGGCCCAAGGTTCTATTTTTTGGAATCTGTGAGGCCAAGAACCCCAGGTCAGAGAACAAAAGGCTTGCCGCCCTCTTGGGAGCGGCCCACTCCATCTTGGGAGCGGCCCTCCACTGTCTTGGGAGCTATAAGCACAAAGTCCCCCGTAACATCTAGGAAGGCTGGAGAGGTTTTCCTCCATTTTTCCCCCAAATATGTTTTTTAAGCTCATAGAATTCTCTTCTTCCTCAAGAATACCAATTATTTTTAGGTTTTGTCATTTAGCATAATCCCAGACTCTTGGAGGATTTGTTCATATTTTCTTATTCTTTTTTCTTTGTGTTTGTTGGATTGGGTTAATTCAAAGACCTTGTCTTCGAGGTCAGAATTTCTTCCACTTGTTCAATTCTATTGCTGAGAATTTCCAGAGCATTTTGCATTTCTAAAAGTGTGTCCAAAGTTTCCTGAATTTTTTATTGTTTTTTCTTTAAACTATCTATTTCCTTGCATATTTCTTCCTTCACTTCTTGTATCGTATTTTGGATTTCCTTGCACTAGGCTTCACCTTTCTCTGGTCCCTCCCTGATTAGCTTAATAACTAACGTCCTGAATTTTTTTTTTTCAGGTAAATCAGGGATTTCTTCTTGGTTTGGATCCATTGCTGGTGAACTAGTGTGATTTTTTGGGGGGTGTTGAAGAAACTTGCTTTTCATATTACCAGGGCTGGTTTTCTGGTTCCTTCTCATTTGGGTAGGCTCTGTCAGAGGGAAGGTCTAGGGCTGAAGGCTGTTCAGATCCTTTTTTTTCATGGGAAGTTCCTTTGATGTCATATTCTCCCCCTTTTCCTAATGGATTTAGCTTTTTGTGAGCCAAACTGCAGTGATTTTTTTCTCTCTTCTGGATCTAGCCACCCGGTGAGTCTATCCAGCTCCAGGCTGGTACTGGGGGTTGTCTGCATAGAGTTCTGTGATGTGAACTGTCTATGGATCTCTGCCATGGATACCAGTGCCTGTTCTGGTGGAGGTGGCAGAGGTGGCAATGGACTCTGTGAGGGTTCTTAGCTTTGATGGTTTAATGTTCTATTTTTGCACTGGTTGACCTCTTGCCAGGAGGTGGTGCTTTCCAGAGAACATCAGCTGTGGTATCATGGGGAGGAATCAGCAGTGGGTGGGGACCTAGAACTCCCAAATTATATGTCCTTTGTCTTCTGCTACCAGGATGGGTAGGGAAGGACCGTCAGGTGGGGGCAGGGCTAGGCATTTTGAGCCCAGACTCTCCTTGGGTGGGTCTTGCTGTGGCTGTTGTGGGGAATGGGGGTAAGATTCCCAGTCACTGGAGTTGTGTACCTAGGAGCATTACGGCTGCCTTTGCTGAGTCACGAAGTTTGTCAGGGAAGTAGGGGAAAGCCAGCAGTCACAGGCCTCACCCACATCTCACACAAATCAAAGAGCCAGTGCCAGTCTCACTCCTACAATGCCCCGGGCAACAGTCCCCAGACGGTTTCCAGGCAGACAGCAATAAGGGCTTGAAAACCTGCCCCAGGCTATGCGCCTCCCAGCTGTGAAAGAGAAAGCCTTGTGGAGTCTGCCCTCCCCCAAATTCTGGCCAGGAGGCTTCTCGCCTCTTTCTAATTTTCACCTCTTTCTAATTTTCACTCACCTCTTTCTAATTTTCACTAAGTTTAGCTAGAGATTTCCTTCTCCCTGTGTAGTTTTACCCCTTGCTCCTTTCCCATTGGATCCCTGTGGTGCCAGGCAGAAATGGCCTGCTTGGGGACCCAACAAGCTCCCAGAGCCTTTCTGCTGCTTCTTCTACCTCTGTATTTTGCTCAGTTCTCCAAAGAGCTCCAGGTAAAGTCAGAAACTTCTCCTGCAAACAGATCTTCAGCTTCTCCAGTGGGGATGTGTGTCTAAGAGTGGAGGGTCTCTCTTTCCCACTTCTGTAGTTGGGGCACTGACAGTTTTGACACATCTCCTGGGTCCTGCAGGAACAGTCTGCTTCCTTCAGAGGGTCTCTGGATCACATATTTAGCTACACAAAATAGATGGAGGTAAAAGAGTGAAACATCTCGTAAGCAGAATCTCAATGCTTAAATAATGAATTATAAGTTTCTGAGGCTTAAATTTCAGAAATGGCTTACATAGAGGTTCTCATGTCATGAAGAAGAGATCACAGGGTGGATCTACACCCATCATGCTGATCAGATGATTGAAAGATTCTGCCTGGGGCCTGAAAGCTAAAGGGAATGAATAACTCCCCCCCCTCAGGACCACTCCCAAGGCACAAGGTCACTTGTGCCAGCAGCATGCATCAGCAAGATAGCAGAAGCAGGAAGAGAGCAGGACAGAAGACACATACCCCCGAAGATCGAGAGGGAGGCCATGCGGGTACTACATAGCAATCATATCAGACTGGAACACTTCCTGTTTACAGAGGACTGTGAAACCCCTGCCCTGTCCTCACTTGGGGCTGACGCCATTTTAGGCCTCAGCCTGCCTGCACCCAGGTGCTCATTAAAATAGCGTGTTGCTCCACACAGCCTTGTGTTGTTTGTTGGTGCGCTCTCGGGGTTCGAACTGATACAAGAGCCTTGCAATGATCACACTTGTGGAGTGTTCATCCTTGTGGTGTAATTAGCACTGTATGCCAATGACTCCCTTTTTCCACGTGTCCTTTCCACACTTCACTTCAGGAACCCTGCACTGTCTATTATCCTTTCTTACAACTATCTTTTCAATCCCCTTGACTCGACTTCTTCCATCCTATAAGCAATTGAACCTGCTCCAGCCTTAACAATTTAACACACAAAAGAAACAAAGCCCAAAGCCTCCTTTCGTATCTATTTTCCCATCCAGTTATCATCCCTACTATATCCAAACCTCTTGAAGGCATTGTCTGTATTTATTACCTTCATTTTCTCAAATCCTACTCAGTTTCAAACCTACTCTAGTCTGGCTTTTATCATCACTATAGCACCCAAAGCCCTTCTTTAGAGGTCACCAGTGACATGCATGTCACTGACTCCAAGGCCATGTTCTCATTCTCCTCTTACTTGATCCATCTGGGGTACTGAGGCAGTTCACCATACCCTTATTACTGAAACACTCTATCCTTGCCTTTCATAACCTTACACTTTTCTGGTTTTCCTCCTCCTTTACACTTTGGCCACCTCATTCTTTTCCACCTGGCCTTAAATAAGTTGGGATTTCTCAAAGTTTTGTCTAAGGCCTTTTCTTTAATCCTTTTTCTCTAGTTAATTTCAACTATCACCAAATCACCATGGCTTCAATCACTATCTATAAGTGTGCTTTTTCTGTTTACTCCAACTTTTCTCAGAGCTCCAGATCTGTAGAACCAACAACTGTCTCATTGCCGTCAGTGCTTGTTGATCTCATGGGCATCCTATGCTTCACATCTTGAAGACCAAGCTCATAATTTTCTTTCCACTCCTGGCTTTCCCCCAGTATTTCTGAGCCCAGGGTATGTCTCATGCCAGAAAGTTGGAAATTATCGTGGATATCTTTCCTTCACTGGGATCAGTATTCTACCAATCACCAAGATTTCTAATCTTTCTTCTAATTATGCCTGAAATTGACCTATTTCTCTTTATCTCCATGGCTATTCCCTCTCACATAGGCTACTTCAATATCCTCCATACCGGTCCCTTACATCTGCTCTTGTACTCTTTTAATTTATATACCTCACTGTGAATAAAATCATCTTTTAAAAATGAAAGTCTGTTCATGAAATTTCTCTGCTTAACCTACTTTAATGGCTTCCCTTTTATCCCTAGATAAAATCCCAGATTATCATGGACCTCAAGGTTCTGTATGATATGATGTCTGTCTGCCTCATCAGTCTCATATAGAGACATTTATTCCTCCATTTCTTCTACTTCTGCCTCATCAGCTTTCAGTTCCTTGAATATACTTCTTCCTGTCTTAGTGCCTTTGCCTACACTATTCCCTCTGCCGGGAATGATCTGTCCTTCAGTGACCAGCTAACTCCCAGTAATTCACATGTTGCTAATTGTTTATATATTACTTCTGCATTTCCTGATCCTCTAAAATAGTTGAGTTCCCCCTGTAAGATGATCTCTTAGCTCCACCATAGCACGTATTACAGCTGCAATTAATTGGTTGGTTGTTATTTGGATTCTCCACTCAAAAAATATGATTGAATGAGTGACTCTAAAGGGAGTCTAGTTCTGTATCTCTAGTTCTGTCTCTCCCCTTGGGCTTTTTTTCCCTTTCTGAATATGACCTCTGAATGTGCCCACTCTTAAATCCACAATTTCAGCCAACAGTCTCACCACCTACATCATCATCAAAATCAGAGACAAGGGAGTCACCCCAGAGTCCTCTTTTCACCTCATCTCCATAGCTTATGAATCTCCAAGTCTTGTTGGTTTAGCTTACAAGGCAGTTATTGGTGACTTTTTTCCTTCAACTTTTATTTTAAGTTCCAGGGTACATGTGCAGGATGTGCAGGTTTGTGACATGGGTAAACATGTGCCATGGTTGTTTGCTGCACAGATAAACTCATCACCTTAAGCCCAGCATTCATTAGCTATTTTTTGGGATGATCTCCCTCCCCCATCCATCCCCTGACAGGCCCCAGTGTGTGTTGTTCCTCCCCATGTGTCCATGTGTTCTCATTATTCAGCTCCCACTTATAAATGAGAACTTGCTGCATTTGGTTTTCTGTTCCTAGATTAGTTTGCTGAGGATAACAGCTTCCAGCTCCATCCATGTCCCTGCAAAGGACGTAATCTTGTCCCTTTGTTTTATTTTAAGTTCCAGAATACATGTGCAGGACATGCAGGTTTGTTAACGTAGGTAAACGTGTGCCATGATGGCTTGCTGCACCTATCAACCCATCACCTAGGTATTAAGCCCCAAATGCATCAGCTATTTATCCTGATGCCCTCCCTCCCCCACTCCTACAGGCTCCACTGTGTGTTGTTCCTCTCCCAGAGTGTCCATGTGTTCTCATTGTTCACCTCTCCCTTATAAGTGAGAACATGCGATGTTTGGTTTTCTGTTCCTGTATTAGATCGCTGGATCTTGTTCCTTTTTATGGCTGCATAGTATTCCATGGTATGTATTTACCACATTTTCTTTATCCAGTCTATCACTGATGGACATTTGGGTTGATTTTATGTCTTTGCTATAGTGCTGCAATGAATATTTATTTTTATAATAGAATGATTTATATTCCTTTGGGTATATACCCAGTAATGGGATTGCTGGGTCAAATGGTATTTCTGCCTCTAGATCTTTGAGGAATCGCCATACTGTCTTCCACCATGGTTGAACTAATTTACACTCCCACCAACAGTGTAAAAGTGTTCCTTTTTCTCTGCAACCTCCTTACAAGGCATTTATTATATGTGTGCTGCTGTCCACTATCTTCACAACAACCTTTGAGTCTTTACTTGTATTCATCGGTTCTTATATGTTTGTTTGTTTGTTTGTTTGTTTGTTTGTTTTTCAATAACTATTTGTTTGAACTATTGACCTATCAAACCACTTATCCTTTTATAATTCTATTTTGAAACTGAATCAACAAAAACAGACACTGTTTGGGCAGCTTTTATTTCTAGCTCATAATCCAAGAATTTTCCTCAATGGAAAATTTTGATGCTATTTTGATGAAACTCGTTCCAAGATAATGAGTTCTTTTGGCGGTAAAAAACCAATGCTCTCCTTTATAATATAAATAGTTCTAGAATTAATATCCAGAGATAAGTTTCTAGTTTCTATTTAACTTTTCAATAATTTCCTGAATAGTATTTCATTTCCAAATAATTAAAAAATGAACAATAGAAACCCTGTGAGAGACCGAATATGCAAACAGACAGTGGCCAGACCACATATAAAACAGAACACTGACCCACTACCTCTACAACAACCAGCCTAGGAAGCCAAACCACAACCTCTGCAGCAATCAGTTCCAAACAGTCAGCACTTGCTCGGTTACTGCCAGCTCCCCTAAATTTTACCCCTGTTTTCAACTCAAGCTCAACCAGAGAAAGCCAAATATGCTTCCCAAGCTAGTCATATAGGATGCTTTGTTTCTGGTTAGCTCACCTCCAGGTTCCTCATTCTGATATGAGATGGGGGACAGGGAAGCGCTGGGTAGAAAAGGGTGGGGTTCCTGGTGAGGGCTCCACTCCTGGGCCTGTGCCCATGAACCTAATTGAGAACAGGCACTCCTGTTTGCACCCAAATGTTGCATTTTCCAAGACCATTCTTGCCTGCTACACCCCCCCCCCATCCTGTGCCCATGTAAACCTGAGACCATAGCAGGCACAGACGCAAGCAGCTGAATATTGAGAGGAGCAGAGGAATAGACCAGCAGACCCCAGCAGACCCCAGCAGACCAGCGGACCAGCGAAGGCAGAATGACAAAGCAGAGAAAGAGAAAAGAGAAGGGAGGTCTGGACCCTGAGGGGAGTTCAACTGGGGGCAGTCAGAGAAGGGTCTGGCTGCTGGGTGGCCCAACTCCAGGGAAAGACCATCTTCCCACTCCATCCCCCATTCTGGCTCCCCATCCATCTCTCTGAGAGCCACCTCCACCACTCCATAAAACCTTGCACTCATCCTTCGAGCCCACGTGTGACCCAATTTTCCTGGTACACTGGGCAAGAGCTTGAGATACAGAAAGCTGTTACACTGGCCCTCTGCCCTTGTGAGGGTCGATTGAGCTGATTAACACAAGCCATTTGCAGATGGCAAAGCTGAAAGAGCACACTGTAACATAAGCCCTCTTGAGTTTCAGGAGTCTCAGACACCCACTTTAGACACTGCCGTGGGGCTGGAACCCAAAAAATGCTCCCCACGGCCGCTTGCTGCACCTGCCCGTCTGCATGCTCCCCTAGGGGTCGGAAGTAGCGAGCCATACCCTGTCACACGTCCTGTGAAGTGAATAAGGGAACTCTCCTGTTTCAGTTCCAAAAATTGACCATCAGAACATAACTGAAGCCTTCTCTCTTTTTTTTTTTTTTTTTGAAAGGAATCTCGCTCTGTCGCGCAGGCTGGAGTGCAGTGGCACCATCTCAGCTCACTGCAACCTCCGCCTCCCCGGTTCAAGCGATTCTCCTACCTCAGCCTCCCGAGTAGCTGGGATTACAGGTGCACGCCACCACGCCCGGCTAATTTTTGTATTTTTAGTAGAGACGGGGTTTAAATATGTTGGCCAGGATGATCTCAACCTCCTGACCTCGTGATCCACCCGCCTTGGCCTCCCAAAGTGCTGGAATTATAGGCGTGAGCCACCGCACCTGGCAGCCTTCCCTTTTTTTACTGTATAATTTTCCCATTCCCCCGCCTGCCCTCGGGTCTGTGCCAAATGCAAGCGATGGAGGCTGACTCTCCTGCTATGGCAAGCTCCCAATAAGTAATCACTGATTTTTCTTATTTGGGTAGTCTTTGTTTATTTCCAAACCTTTGTTTTTGTTTTCTTTAAGGCTCTTCAAGTTCACACCTGAATGACGCATTATTCTTAAATCTACCTGATCTACCTATGTGAATCTTATTTTAGTTATATATATATATAGAATTGTAGCTTCATAAAGAAAAGGGAGGATTTTACCTGAAACAATGCATTCTATTTAGAATCTGGATGGACCGGCTGAGGTCAGAAGGGCTGGTACCCTGAAAATCTGGCCATTTCCTAGGAGATTTGTGAGGCCTAAAGTCCCTTGTGTAAATTTCCTCTGCTCTAGCCTTCTCTAATGAACTGAAGGGAACACCCATCCTCAGATAAGGCAAGTAAATAGTCCATTGTTTGCTCTAAATTTAAGAGTATCTTAAGAGCTTTTATAGGTACTCTTATCTCCTTAATATTTCTGAGATGGCTCCTAGGCTTCAAGGGTGGGAAATATAAACAGTGAGCATTGTGCTTCCAAAAGGGCTGAAGGAGGAGGAGTTAGGAAAAGGGTAAGCTTTATTGGGAGGGAAGATTTTTCCAGGCTTAAGTGTAAGACAGAATGCTTTTTGACAGTAGAGACTTCCAGACTTAGAGCCATAGTATTGCTTTCTCATAAGTGAATTGAAAGAGAGTATTTAATTTCTGAATGGAAGCTACTGTATGATTACTAAAGGAATCCAATATATAAAGGTTCCAACAGATGGCAACTGTCTGTGTAACTGCAACCCAGATATTGATTATATTAGCAACATTTTAAATCTTTGCAAGACCTCCCACCTTCTGATAGGGTCTGATAGCATTAAGGCTGTTCAGATTGGCAGTGTTTCTTCAGGAAAGCAGGGCAGAGTAAGTGGTAAAAGCCAGCCTCAGAGGCTGGCAGCAACTGATGAGTCCTTGTTAAAATACTTTGTTTTTCCTTTATTCTCAAATTGGGTGTAAACTTTGTAATACATATTTGAACTTACAGGGAATGGTTTTTATTAAACCCTGTAAATATTCTGGGTTTTCTGTTGTTTTATTGTATGTCTTTGTCTTCCCATTTGACCCTAATATTAGCTTCTTTTTGTCACTACAGATTTTTTTAATGCTTCCTTAATCATTTGAGCTGAATAAATATCATCTTTCTTAGACTGTTAGCTATCAAACATGTCTATTTACATATTGAAACAAACACTGAGGTGTTCCTAATATATTTATGAAGACATGTTATTTTAACATTGGACCAAAATCTTCTAGAGTGTTAATATAGCCTCAGAGCTTTAGTTCTGCATTATTGTCAATTAAATTCAAGACAAAACCATTTACAGCCAATTGTAAGGAACATACTCTGGAAGGTGGGTGGGCCACAGAGATCACTGCCTAATATATATGCAAATGATTACAAAGTTGTGCAGAGTGGTCAATGATGTCAGAGATGTATGGATGAGCTGCTATGGTGACCCAATGGATGGAGAAATTAATTCTGGTGAGACAACCTTAGGGACGGAGGGTTTACAAAAGAGGTAAAACTTAAGTTGGGCCTTAAGATATTGGTAAATTTTGAAAGTCAGTGATGCACTATTAAGGACATCCATATGATGGCAAGTGCAATGCTTTCAGGGAAAGGCACTGTATATCAGAAGGAAGAGTTTGAGCCAAAGCAGAGTGTTGGAAACATCCTGGGCAAGTTTGAATGAGAAACAGTTGCCCAGTTCTCTAGGCCACTTGAACCATAAGGACAGGGTAGTGAGTTAGGTTCTGATTGTAGCAGGAAATACCATGTTAAGATTTAACTTGAACATGTTAGACGTGAAGGAAAGTCAATGAGGACTTTCAGGCAGAAAAGAAACACAAAGATTTGTATTATAGAAATACTTTTTGTGTTTTAGAAAGATTATTTTATATTCAAACTAGATTCATTATGGATACACATAATAGCTTTTGATAGAGATGCAGTGATTTATGAGTAGTGATAATGATGTGGTCATGTGAAAGTGTGGCAAATGAGGACAAATGAAGATAACTTTAGGCTTTGGTGGTGGACTAATTTTATTTAGTTTTTAGAACATATCACAAGATTATTTATCATAACTGTGCTTTTAAAAAGTAGAAGAATTTGAAATTAATCAGGATTTCTGCATAATCATATTTAAGAACAATAACGAAGTGCAACATCTCATATTTACCAGTACATTTTCTGAAGCATTTATAAATCTAGAGCATGCGAAATGGGCTTTCAGTGCTCAGATTTCCTATTTCTTGCATCTTTTCACATGCCTGAGAAACTGAGAGAAAGAGGGAGAAGTTTTCTCTTACCCAAGTAAAATGATGAGAAAAATGATGAGAAAAATTGGGCTACTAGTCAGTCTTATTTGAATAATTTTAAAATCAAATGTAAGGATGTGCTTTGAGTTGGGGTTGTGGGAATATTACAGGGGAAAAAAGCGATGAAAGGGAGTTCATCTAAATACCTAAGGTGTCAACAACCAAACATCAAGGTTCTCTGATTCACCAGGGAAGGTTGTGATGACCCCACTGGCAGTTCATCTAGGTTTTCTCTCTGGTCAAACTTAATTTTCTGTTTAAGTGAAAAGGGAGTCTTGGATTAAATGGATCTGTTCTCAGGTTCAGCGTCCTAAGGGAGTTATAATTAAAGGCCTCCGGCCTTTCACAGATTATTTCATTTAGGCTGCTGGGATGCCTTCTATTAGCAAGGTGGTTGGAGTGTCAAAACTTCAGAATGACATTTTCAATGTCCCTGGCTTGAATAATCTGGAGACATTGATTCTGATGTTAGGCTCTCACAGCCCTGAAGACCTTCCTGTGCCTCTTTTCGTTGACTCCCTCTCACTCTTACATGTAACTAACTCCCAGTACAGTCAGCCACATGCCCCAAACATAGGCTAGCTACTTCGTGTATTCAAACTGCTAAACAGGGTTAACCTTCCTCGTTGTGCACATGGATGAGGATGCTTCCAGCTGATGCTTCTGTCAGTTACATCTACCTTTACTCTTTTCTTTGCCATTAAATAAGTTTACTAAATGTAGTGCAATTATTATAGGAAAGCAACTTCGTTTTCACGTTTTTACAGTCCCAGTCTCAGTTGGTATAGTTATTAATGCCATATCTCTGTACCATCCACCCAATTTTGCTGTAACCCTAACATTACTCTAAAAAATAGTCTATTAAAAATTAACAAACATGATATCATTTTAAATCCTCTATGTAAACAGTTTTCTTTTTATGACTTCAATGGAAATTGACCAGTAAACTATTATTTATGACTGTATATATAACCATATTACCATCTGTCCAGGGTTGTTCTGGGAACCAGATTTTATGAAGAGCATTTGTCTTGTGCAGTATTTCAGTACTTAAAAGACATATGGGCCTCCTTCAAAGACCTTTCATACCATTCAGCAATCAATAAAATTATTTTCCTCCTTGTTAATGTATGGAACAGCAGACCAAGAAAGTAAATTTTGTTGTTGTTGTTTTCAAAATATGTAGTAAGAATTTCTTAAACTGCTTGGAAAATATTAACAAAATTTAACTGTTGGCAAGAAAGTTTTACTGAAATAAGTCAAGTTCTGTTGTGTTTCTAATTATATTGTTGTTAATAATTATAAATATTTTTGAAGATATAAAGTGTTAGGTATAACTAAACTCTGATAATGAAAAAAACAGCATATTATTCATGTACCATATCTGGTGAAGAAAGTGGGGCTGATATATTAAAATGAAAGACACTGGATGATTTAGTGACTATAGAATTGATTTTGAATGAGGTGAAAGGTTTTGATAAAAATAAATACAACTTAAAAGAGGAGGATCATGTGTTCTTGGTTTTGTATTTTTATTGCCTACACAAGAAAAACTCAAATAATTAGTGTTCTATTACTTATATTGATTAAAATGTACAGACCTTAACAAATTTGATTTCACCTTGTGATCAAAAGACTACAAAAGATGTTGAAAGATGTTGAAAGATGTTCATCGGCTTTCTAACTTCAGTGTGTAGTTTAATCAGAAAGCGACATTGTATCTCAAAATCAAAAAGAAGAATTAGATGAAATATTCATTACTTCATATAAAGGGCTATTATGCTATAAAGAGATTCCATACTGTAAGATATCATAGAAGTTAGAAACTGAAAAGACACATTAGGTCATCTGGTTGGTCTCTGTACTGAGAACAGCATTGTTTTGCACAATCTACTCTTCAGTGTTTTGTAATGTCAAAATATTCTAAAACACTAAGTTGAAGCAAAAATATCTTGTAACCCTGGAGTTGTGAAGTAAATCAAAGTGATGGGAGACTAGATTACTATTCAAAGCACCATCTATGCTCCAGAAGTCTACTAATGCATGAAGAAGTCACTGAGAAAAGCAGTTTTTAAAAGAATAAGGAATAGAAAACACTGACACAGCAGAGAACTGGAGAGGGCAATTCCTAAATGACCTGGAGTCCAGAGAAACTCAGATGTACATACTTAAGATGTAGAAGACATCACTTAGGAGTAAACACTGTACTTTCTTAGAGGTGATCAAAAGGAAGGAGTTGACATTGAAATGGGAAATGACTTTCTGTAGCTAGTATATGTGTGGGAGGAACAAGAGGAGCAAAGACATCAGAAGGCCAAGGAGAAACAGCCAGGCCAAGCCATGTCCTTTCTGTCATGTCAGCTTCTGACAAGACACACCCTTAATGAAGCTCTACTGTGGGGATTAGAAAACTCTCAGCCTCCCAGTCAACCCAGTTTAGACATAGATATGCTGAACTATTCCTCACACACCGTGGGTAACCCCCTTTTCCCTAATTTTTCAATTTTAATGAAAAAAATAAAAAATAAAAAAAAACTTATTTGGGACTCACCTATATCTTATAATCAATCTTTACAGTAAGTTTATGAGGCATATTCATCCCATTTAACATGAGATAAAATTAGAGCTTCCAGACATGGAGCAACTTGGTCAGGGTAGACAGTTACTGGTCTATCTAATTCCAAAATTATCCTGCATCGCTGTATTAGTCTATTCTTGCATTGCTGTAAAGAAATACCTGAGACTGGGTAATTTGTCAAAAAAGAGGTTTTATTAGTTCATAGTTCCACAGGCTGTACAGGAAGCATGATGCTGGTCATCTGCTTGGCTTTTGAGAAGGCCTCAGGAAACTTACAATCATGGCAGAAGGTGAAGGGGAAACAGGCTCATCTTAAATGGCCAGAGCAGGAGCAAGAGAGAGAGATGAGGGAGCTGCACACTACACACTTTTAAACAACCAGAGCTCACTATAACTCACTCACACACTATCACCGAGGGGATCGTGCTAAGCCATTCATGAAGGACTACCCCAGTGATCCAATCACCTCCTACCGGGTCCCACCTCCAATACTGGAGAGTACAATTCAACATGAGATTTGGTGGGGACACACAGTCAAACCACATCAATCACCAAATGCATCTACATGCCTTCTAACATACTTTTATTGTGAACTTGGGTATGTATATCTATGTCTACATATGAATTAATTAAGTATTATTTTCTCCTTTTGTCTAGATACTTCATGAATATCCACTCATGTTTTAGATTTCCTATCTTACATAATGACCTGTTCTAAGACCTTGGAATCACACTCACGTTACCTGCTGTTTCACAGGGGACATATTATCAGGCTGTTATACAGCATGTTTCTCCCTCTCTCCAACATGTAAACATTGGAGTTCCTAAAAGGCAATTCTTAGGCCTCTTTTGATTTCTCTCTAAATTATCTTCCAAGAAGATTTTATTTGTTTCCATAGTCATATCGTTGGCATTGTGTCACCACCCAAATCTCACCTTGAATTGTAATAATCTCCTTGTGTCAAGGGTGGGACCAGGTGGAGATAATTGAGTCATGAGGGCAGTTTCCTCTGTGCTGTGATAGTGAGTTCTCATGAGATCTGATGGTTTTATAAGAGGCTTCCCCCTTCACTTGGTTCTCATTCTCTCTCCTGACGCCCTGCAAAGAGGTGCCTTCTGCCATGATTGTGAGTTTCCTGAGGCCTCCCCAGCCATTCAGAACTGAGAGTCAATTAAACCTCTTTCTTTATAAATTACCCAATCTCAGGTATTTCTTCATAGCAGCATGAGAGTGGACTAATACACATAGCTTTATATTTCATCTATTAAATAGAAAACTAGGATGAGTCCCATATTTATATCTCTAGCCCAAAATTTCCCCCTAAATTTTGGACTCATATATCCAACTGCCCACTCAATATATCTGTTTAAATATGACTCACAAGCATTTCACATTAATTATCTGAAATAAACTCCTAATCTTTCACTACCCCCAATTCCAACACTTTCTTCCTTGAGTCTTTCCTGTATTTGAAAATAGTACCACCATTCCATCCAGTTGCTCAAGAAGAAAATCCTGGATTTGGGATGGATACCTACTCTTTGTCCCATTTGTAATCTTCATTTGAAATTTCCCACAGTCCTGATCATGAAGTTTAGTTCAGGAATGGGCATGTAATCTAGGCAAAAGCTGATTTAATCAAAGTAAATTTCAGAGAATTATCCTGGACACAGGATTTTGTTTATCACCTTCCTGCAACATGGCAGTGGAGCTTCCAAGGTTGGAGTCACGGCTAATGAAGCAAAGCTTTAAAACAGGGAGAGAAAAGCTGTTTTG
This sequence comes from Homo sapiens, assembly GCF_000001405.40. Taxonomy (NCBI): domain Eukaryota; kingdom Metazoa; phylum Chordata; class Mammalia; order Primates; family Hominidae; genus Homo; species Homo sapiens. The sequence continues at coordinate 78,073,765 of NC_000013.11, forward strand.
CAACTAATAAGCTATGTCCTGGTCATATCACATGAGGCACTAGACTAAATCCATACTGAATCTGATCCTACTATTGAATTTCAGTAGCTAGTCAATAATTCCTCTAATTGTTTATCTGTTTCCATTGAGTTTTCCACTACTTGCAACACAAAGCATACTACCACAGTTGTATACATGAAGTTTAAAGTTAAAAAAAATAAAGGGAGAACTAGAAAGTGATTACATCAATGGAGAAAATGAAGTCTGAAAAGAGATCCATGTATATATGGAAATCTAGGGTGTAATCAAGGTGAAATTTTTAATCTGGATAGAAGGCATGCACCATTCAATGAACAGTTTTGAGACAACGAGCTTTCCATTTGAAAAACGACTTTTATTTACTGTAGCTTGTAGTATAGTTTGAAGTCAGGTAGCGTGATGCCTCCAGCTTTGTTCTTTTTGCTTAGGATTGTCTTATTTATACAGGCTCTATTTTTGTTTCATGTGAAATTTAAAGTAGTTTTTTCTAGTTCCATGAAGAAAGTCAATGGTAGCTTGATGGGAATAGCATTGAATCTATAAATTACTTTGGGTGGTATGGCCATTTTCACAGTATTGATTATTTCTATCCATGAGCAAGAAATTTTTTCCCATTTGTTTGTATCCTCTCTGATTTCCTTGAGTAGTGGTTTGTAGTTCTCCTTGAAGGAGTCCTTCACATTCCTTTTGAGTTGTATTCCTGGTGTTTTATTTTCTTTGTAGCAATTGTGAATGGGAGTTTACTCATGATTTGGCTCTCTGCTTGTCTATTATTGGTGTATAGGAATGCTTGTGATTTTTGCACATTGATTTTGTATCCTGAGAGTTTGCTGAAGTTGCCTATCAGCTTAAGGAGTTTGGGGCTGAGATGATAGGGTTTTCTAAATATGCAATCATGTCATCTGCAAAAAGAGACAATTTGACTTCCTCTATTCCTATTTGAATACCTTTATTTTTTTCTCTTGCCTGATTGCCCTGTCCAGAACTTCCAATACTACGTTGAATAGCAGTGGTGAGAGAGGACATTCTTGTCTTCTGCCGGTTTTCAAAGGGAATGCTTCCAGATTTTGCGTGTTCAGTATGATATTGGCTATGTGTTTGTCATAAATAGCTCTTATTATTTTGAGATATGTTCAATCAATACCTAGTTTATTGAGAGTTTTTAGCATGAAAAGGTGTTTAATTTTGTCGAAGGCCTTTTCTGCATCTATTGAGATAATCATGTGGTTTTTGCCATTGGTTATGTTTATATGATGGATTACGTTTACTGATTTGCATATGTTGAACCAGGCTTGCATCTCGGATGCTGACATTATCGTGGCAGATAAGCTTTTTGATGTGCTGCTGGATTCGGTTTGCCAGTATTTTATTGAGGATTTTTGCATCGATGTTCATCAGGGACACTGGCCTGAAATTTTCTTTTTTGTTGTGTCTCTGCCAGGTTTTGGAATCAGGATGATGCTGGCCTCATAAAATGAGTTAGGGAGGAGTCCCTCTCTTTTTATTGTTTGGAATAGTTTCAGAAGGAATGATACCAGCTCCTCAGATATATACATTAATGGAACAGAACAGAGGCCTCAGAAATTACACCACACATCTACAACCATCTGACCTTCGACAAACCTGACCAAAACAAGCAATAGGAAAAGGATTCCCTATTTAATAAATGATGCTGGGAAAACTGGCTAGCCATATGCAGAAAACTCAAACTGGACCCCTTCCTTACACCATATACAAAAATTAAGATGGATTAAAGACTTCAGCATAAAACCTAAAACCATAAAAACCCTAGAAGGAAACCTAGGCAATACAATTCAGGACATAGGCACGGGCAAAGATTTCATGACTAAAACACCAAAAGCAATTGCATCAACAGCCAAAATTGACAAATGGGATCTAATTAAACTAAAGAGCTTCTGCTCAGCAAAAGAAACTATCATCAGAGTAAACAGGCAACCTACAGAATGGGAGACAATTTTTGCAATCTATCCATCTGACAAAGGGCTAATGTCCAGAATCTACAAGGAACTTAAACAAATTTATAAGAAAAAACAAACAACCCCATCAAAAATTGGGCAAAGGACAAGAACAGGAACTTCTCAAAAGAAGACATTTATGTGGCCAGCCAACACATGAAAAAAAGTTCATTATCACTGGTCATTAGACAAATGCAAATCAAAACCACAATGAAATACCATTTCATGCCAGTTAGAATGGCAATCATTAAAAGTCAGGAAACAACAGATGCTGGTGCAACTGTGGAGAAATAGGAACACTTTTACACTGCTGGTGGGAGTGTAAATTAGTTCAACCATTGTGAAAGACGGTGTGGTGATTCCTCAAGGATCTAGAACCAGAAATACCTTTTGACCCCACAATCCCATTACTATGTATATACCCAAAGGATTATAAATAGTTCTACTATAAAGACAAATGCACACGTGTGTTTATTGCAACACTATTTACAATAGCAAAGGCTTGGAACCAACCCAAATGCCCATCAATGATAGACTGGATAAAGAAAATGTGGCACATATACACCATGGAATACTATGCAGCCATAAAAAAAGAATAAATTCATGTTCTTTGCATGGACATGGATGATGCTGGAAACCATTATCCTCAGCAAACTAACACAGGAACAGAAAACCAAACACCACATGTTCTCACTCATAAGTAGGAGTTGAACAATGAGAACACATGGACACAGGGAGGGGAACATTATACACCAGGGCCTTCAGTGGTTGAGGGGAAAGGTGGGGGAGAGCATCAGGATAAATACCTAATGCATGCAGGTGTTAAAATCTAGATGATGGGTTGATAGGTACAGCAAACCACCATGGCACATGTATACCTATGTAACAAACCTGCATGTTCTGCACATGTATCCCAGAACTTAAAGTAAAATTTAAAAATTAATTAATTAAAAATAAAAAGTAAAACTACTTTTAGATCCTTACTCCTCACTATTAATAAAAGCACATAAAAATGGCTTAAATATTTAAATGTAAGCAGATAAACTGACAAATCTAAGAAGCAAACATCGAAACATGTACATATTAATTGGGGTAGGGATTGCCTTTTAAAATAAGAAACAAAAAACAAAGTTACAACAGGAGAACCACAAAAAGAAAAAAGTAAATTCGACAATAACAAAATTTTAAGTTTTATATGACAAAAGATACACTAAAACCATTAAAAAGAAACATCAACTAGCAGAATATATGAGACAAAGAATATTCAAAAATATAAATAACTTCTACAAATGTATAAGAAAAAAGCCAATAACAATAGAAAAATTGTTACATAATTAAACAGATAATTGACAGAAATAAAATTACCAATGGTCAATAAAAATATAGAAAGCTAGTCAAGTTTTCTGGGAATAGTGAAACTAGTTAAACCAAATATGAGAGCCCTTTTCACCAATGAGGAATGAGTTCTTTTCATCTACTAGTAGTACTTTTCATCATTTTTCACCTGCTAGAATGGCAAAACAACAATAATAATAATCATGGCTTGGCCATTGTATAGCTAAGTACTCTGTTGATAAGACCATAAATTAATTCTACTTTGTGATAAATTTGATACTATCTAGTTAAATTTAAAATGCAAAAAGCATATGACCTAGTAGTTATATTTTGGCTATCTATTCTAGAGCAATACATGTGATGTTTTCAAGTAAAAGGAAGTATATAAAAGATGTTTATTGCAGTCTTGGCTTTAAAAAAAATAGAGAAACTTTAATTGCTATAAAAATGGGAATTGTTAAACAAGTTTTGACATATTAATGCTGCAGAATGCACTGCAGCACTTAAAAAGAGTAAGATAATAGACAGCCAAAATAAAATTGCTAGATCCTATGTTATTTGTATTTTAAATTTAATCAGACATTGTCACAGACAGTGTCAAATTCATCACAAAGTAGAACCAATTTATAATCTTACCAGTAGAGTATTTACTTATGTCATTTATTTCTAGAAAGTTCTACTAGATGAATTGTTAGAACTACATTCCAATTAGCACCATGACATAGAGTAATACTTTTCTATAAATATGCAAAAGAAAATATTCACAAATATAAAATAAGTGTAAATGTGTAAAAAGAAAAATAAACACTAAATTACACCATATGGCCTGATATGCATGAATAGAAAAAATTCTGAAAGGATACATACCAAATTCTTATTTGTGGTTAACCCAGAAGAGAGACAAAGACTAGGAGAGGTGATCAGAAGGAACTGTCTAATCTGTTATATTTTTAGGTTAGCTTAATTTTAAACTAAGAGAAAAGCAATTTCTGTGTTTCCTATGGAATTGAAATTAATAGTTTCTAAAAGAATTTCTCTTGGGATTATTAACATATTTGGACAATATTTATGCAAACTGGAAAATGGAGTCAAGAATCTGTTGTTAAAATAGGCAAAATATTGTGCAGTATCCTGTACAATGTTTTGTCTTAACAGAGCTAATTCCTTCTGGTTCTGCCATATGCTGCACTTGAGTGTTGCAGAAGCAAGTTTTGACCAAAGATAAAACCTAGCAAGGCGCAGAGTGCAGAATTTTCAGGGATAATACTCACTTACAGAAACCATTTAGAGTCATTTTCTGGCAGGGACGGGGCAGAGCACTGCCAAGATTATAAGACCAGCCTGCAGGAGGTATTTAACATTTTCTTTGGATAAGCTACTGAAACCCAAGAGTAGAAATTCCTGGGACAGCATTGTAAAAGAGAGTACATACAAGTGTTTGATGATAGCTAAGTTCACTGACGAAGAAACTATTCCTTGCTTCAACCTGTACTTTACCTTTAGCTCTAACAAATTTTAGGTCGACGGAAGTATGCAGCACGTTTCCACGTTTTGTTTTCTAAATTCCTACCCCTCGTTTCTACTATGAACCCCAACAGTCCACTCTCCCTACAGCATTCAAAGTGATCTTTTACCAAAGGTCACTCGAATTCCATCATATTTGAAATAAATCCAAATTTCTGACATTGCCCCATAGTCCCACTTGATCTGACACTAGGTCCACTCTCCAATCTCATGCCTATGGCAACCCTCCACTCTACCTCATCACATGAGACTTCTTGCTTTTCCTTAAAAGTGGATGCATATCCTGCAGTTCTCTGTTCCTAAAATATTCTTCCCCTAGACATGCGTCTCTTCACTCCCTAACTTCTTTTAGGTCTCAGAAAAGCTTTTATTTATCACTCTGTCAAAAATATCACCCTCCACAACACTAGACTCCTTACATTGCTATATTTTAATTTTATTTTTAAAGTGTACTGTGTAGGCTCTTTTCAAATAAAAATTATATATTATAATGTACAGCATAATGTTTTGAAATATGTACAATAGACCTCTCAAACTTATTCCTCCTAGCCATTGAAATTTTGTATTTTAAATAAACATTTCCCCAACCCTGCTCCCTCCCTTCAATCTTTGGTAACCACTATTTTACTCTCTACTTCTACAAGTTCAACTTTTTTAGATTCCACATGTAAGAGAGATCATTGTAGTAATTGTTTTTTCTGTCTGGATTATTTCACTTAATAGAATATCCTTCAGTTTCATCCATGCTGTCAAAAATGAGAGTATTTCTTTGATTTTGAGGCTGAGTGGTATTGCATCATGTATATATACCACATTTTCTTACCACATTGATGGACATTTAAGATGATTACATGTCTTGGTTATTATGAATAATGCTGCAATGACATAAGAGTGAAGATACATTTTTGGCATACTGATTACATTTTCTTTGAATATTATACTAGGTGATGGGATTTCTGGATCAGATGGCAGTTCTGTTTTTAGTTTTCTGAAGAACTTCAATACTGTTTTCCATAAAGACTTTACTAATTAAGGGTTCCCTTTTCTCCACAATTTCTTCAACACTTGCTATCTTTTGTTTTTTGATGATAGCCATTCTAACAAGCATGAGGTGATATCTCATTGTGGTTTACTTTACATTTCCTTGATGATTAGTGATGTTAAGCATTTTTTCATTTACCTGTTGGCCATTTGTGTGTCTTCTTTTGAGAAATGTCTATTCAGATCCTTTGTCCATTCTTTTTTTTTCCTATTTTTTTAAAAATTATTATTATACTCTAAGTTTTAGGGTACATGTGCACAACTTGCAGGTTTGTTACATATGTATACATGTGCAATGTTGGTGTGCTGCACCCATTAACTCGTCATTTAGCATTAGGTATATCTCCTAATGCTATCCCTCCCCCCTCCCCCACCCCACAACAGTCCCTGGTGTGTGATGTTCCCCTTCCTGTGTCCATTCTAAAATCAGGTTATTTGTTGTATTACTATTGAGTTGTTTGAGGTTCTTAAATATTTTGGATATTAATCCCTTATCATATGTATAGTTTGCAAATATTTTCTCCTGTTCCATAGGTTGTCTCTTCACTCTGTGGATTGTTTTTTTTCAGCTATGAAGAAGCTTTTTGTTCGATGTAATTCCATTTGTCTATTTTTGCTTTAGCTGACTGTGCTTTTGAAGTCATATACCAAAAATCATTGTCCAGACCAATGTCGTGGACTTTCCCCCCATATTTTCTTTCTTTCTTTTTCTTCTTCTTCTTTATTTTTTTAGAGACATGATCCTTCTCTGATGCCCAGGCTTCAGTAGTTCAGTGGCTATTGACAGGTGCAATCATGATGTACTACAGCCTTGAAATCCTGGGCTCAAGAGATCCTCCTGCCTCATTCTCCCAAGTAGCTAGAATTATAGGCATGTACCACTGTGCTTGGCTATTCTCCTACATTTTCATCTGGTAGTTTTCTTCTAGTAGTTTCAGGACTTACATTTAATTCTCTAATCCATTTTGGTTTGATTTCTGCACATTATATAAAATAAGGATTGAATTACATTTAAGTTACTAATCCATTTTGATTTGATTTCTGTATATTATATAAAATAAGGATTCAATTTCATTCTTATGCAAATGGATATCCAGTTTTCTTAATTCCATTTATTAAAGAAATTGTCCTGTCCACATTATGTGTTTTTGGCACCTTTGCCAAACATTAGTCAAGCATACAGGCATGGATTTCTTTCTGGGATCTCTATTCTGTTCTATTGGTCTCATTTCTCTACCAATACCATGCTGTTTTGATTACTATAGCTTTGTAGTATATTTTGACATTAGGTACTGTGATACCTTCAGCTTTGTTCTCTTTGCTGGAGATTGATTTGCCTATTTACAGGTTTTTGGGGGACTTCATACAAATTTTAGAATGGCCTTTTCTATTTCAGAAACATGTCTTTAAAATTTTGATAGGAAATGTATTGACTGTGTAGGTTACTTTAGGTAGTAGCACATTTTAATAACATTAATTTTTCTAATTTGTGAACATGGTATATCTTTCCATTTATTTGTGTCTTCTTCAATTCCCTTCATCAGTGTTTTACAGTGTAAGGTCTTTCACATTTAACATTAGTTAAAGGTATTCTTAAGTATTTTATTTTATTTTTGTAGCTATTATAAATGGGATTGTTTTCTTTATTTCCTTTTTGGGTAGTTCATTGTTGGTGTATAGCAATGCTATTGATTTTTGTATGTTGATTTTATATATCTCACAACTCTACTGAATTCATTTATTAGTTCTAACAGTTTTTTTTTTTAGTAGAGTCCTTAGGTTTCTGTATATAAGATCATGTTGTCTGCAAACAGACAATTTAACTTCTTCTTTTCCAATTTAAATGCATTGTATTTCTTTCCCTTGCCTTAATTGTTCTGGCTAGGACTTCCAGTACCATATTGAATAGAAGTGGCAAGAGTGGCATCTTGTATTTTTCTGGTCTTAGAAGAAAAGCTTTCCGCTTTTCACCATTGAGTATAATATTTGCTGTGGGCTTGACATATATGATCTTTATTGTGTTAAGGCACATTTCTTCTATATCTAATTTGTTGAGAGTTTTTTAAATTTAAAGGAGGTTAAATTTTGTAAAATATTTCTGTGTATCCATATACACCATGGAATGCTATGCAGCCATAAAAAAGGATGAGTTCATGTCCTTTGCAGGGACATGGATGCAGCTGGAAACCATCATTCTGAGCAAACTATCACAAGGACAGAAAACCAAACACTGCATGTTCTCACTGATAGGTGGGAATTGAACAATGAGAACACTTGGACACAGGGCGGGGAACATCACACCCTGGAGCCTGTCATGGGGTGGGGGACAGGGGGAGAGATAGCATTAGGAGAAATGCCTAATGTAAATGACGAGCTAATGGGTACAGCAAACCAACATGACACATGTATACCTATGTAACAAAACTGCATGTTGTGAACATGTACCCTAGAACTTAAAGTATAATAAAAAAAAGAAGAAAAAAATATTTCTGTGCATCGATTGAGATGATCATATGGTTTTTGTTTTTCATATGGTTTTTGTTTTTCATGCTGTTAGTGTGGTATATTTATATATTTGTGTATGTTGAACCATCCTTGAATTCCTTGGAAAAATCCCACTTGATCATGGTAAATAATTCTTTTAGTATGTAGTTGAGTTCAGTTTGTTACCATTCTGGTATGGATTTTTGCATCTATATCCATCAGGGATATTGGCCTGTAATTTTCTTTTATTACAGTGTATTTGTTTCTATTTGGCATCAGGGTAATACTAGTCTCTTAAAATGAAGATGGAAGTATTACTTCTTCAATTTTTTGGAGGCATTTGAGAAGAATTGATATTAGTTCTTCTTTAAATATTTAGTAGAATTAAACATGAAGGCTTCAGGTCCTGTGCTTTTTTTTTTTTTTATAGTGGGAGGCTTCTTTTTTACTGATTCAATCTCTTTAATCTTTATTGGTCTGTTCAGGTTTTCTATTTCTTCATGATTCAGTCTTCATAGGTCTTAACGTATCTAGGAATATATTGATTTCTTCTAGGTTATTGAACTTGTTGGCATGTAATTGTTTATAGTAGTCTTATGATTCTTTGTGTCTCTGTGATATCAGTTGCAATATCTCCTTTTTCATTTCTGATTTTATTAGTCTTGTATCTTTTTTCGTAGTCTAACTAAAGATTTGTTGACTTAATCTTTTCAAAAATATCACCTGTTAGTTGTTCTTTCTGTTGCTTTTCTAGTCTATTTAATTTATTTCTGCTCTGGTCTTTATTATTTCCTTTCTTCTGCTAACTTTGGGCTTAGTTTGCCCTTGTTTTTCTAGTTCCTTGAGGGTGACATTAGGCTCTTTATTTTGGATCTTTTTCTTTTTTGATGTAGGCATATATTGTTATAAACTTCCCTCTAAGAACTGTTTTTGCTGCATCTCTTAAGTTTTAGCATGTTTCTATATTCATTTGTTTCAAGATACTTTACATTTTTCTTCTAACTTCTTCATTGATTCATTGGTTGTTTAGGAACATGTTGTTTATTTTCTTATATTTGTGAACTTCTCAAATTTCTTCCTGTTACTGATTTTCAGTTTTATCCCCTTGTGATTGGAAAAGATAATTGATATGATTTCAACTTTCTTAGATTTGTTAAGCTTGTTTTGTGGCCTAACATAACCTATCCTGGAGAATGTCTTATGTACACTTGAGAAGAATGTGTATTCTGTTGCTGTTGAATAGAATATTCTGCATATATCTGTTAGGTCAATTTGGTCTAAATAAAGTTTAAGTCCAATGTTTCAATGCCTTATTTTTACTCGTGGAATTTATCACAACTTTATGTTGTATTTCTTAACTGTCTTCCTTTCTTTGGAGTTATAAGCTCTAAAGGAGCAAGAATTTGTTTCTTATCTTCTTTACTGCCTAGAGCAGTCATTGGAGTGTATTAATCATTCAATGAATAAATGTATTAATCATTCAATGAATAAATGTATTAATCAACAAAGAACTGAAACTAAAAGCCTAACCCAAGGTTACAAATCCTGTAATAGCTAAAAGCAGAATTCGACCTGACATGTTTAACTCAAACCTAGTGTTTATTCTATTATACCAGTAATGTCACAGTATTTATTTGTATAAACTCGGAATATCTTTCTTGGGGAAAGGAAGCAAGTGCTTGGTTAGGGAATGGTAAAAACCCATTATCAGCGATAGTATTGAGATTTGAAAACCAAAGCTGATATGTTTCAGGTTACTGTGTTCCATTTGCAATGCTTATATTCTGAATGTCTATTAAATAGTGAGGTTGAAGAGGTCTATGGGATGTGAGTATTACTTGCATCCCAGTAATTCTAGCACATATTATTTTGGAGCTGAAGCTATAGGAACAATATCTTCTTGTGTCGAGGTAACCTAAAACAGTAGTGAGAAAGTAGCACTACTGGAAGATATCACCTGTCACTTGGTGGCTACAGGTTTTCAGACTTAATGCGTAGAAAAGAGTCTTACCTTGAAACCCCAATCCTAAATATAGTAGACTTTTCCTGGTATTGACTAAGTTATCAAACTCTGGATTTACAATTAATCTGCAAAATAATTCAAACAATTCCCTAATACCTAGCTCTTTATCATGAAAATGTGCCATTGGTCTTGAAACAGTTGATGCTTTGCCCACATGAAAAAAAAAGCAGTGGTATCAATAGCCAACACCACTTAGCTAAATGACCTTGTTCCTAGAAACAACTGCTTAACACTATTGTGTACAGAGTCCTGGACATACTGTAACTTTTCTGATTATCACAATGCACCAAAATACATCATCTACTAATGCACTGTATATAAATCCAAACATGCTTATTCCAAGGAGAATGTCTCTCCCTCCCTAATTTTACTTTGGTAGATTTATTTCCTTTTTGGGAAAACGCATTTTCCTCCCTTTCCAAATATTTAGGTCAGTGAACTCATTTCTGGAATTCAGAAGTCTAGAGACTTTAAGATTTGGCAGAGAAGTTTTGAGACTGTCAGTTAAATACAATGAGTTTTGCATTCTCTAATGAAATAAAAATGTAAGCTTACATATCCAGCCTTACTTCAACATTCTGTACTACCACTAAAAGAGAGCATTTTGTGTCAGATCTAAAAGTCAGGAACCTTATGTTACACTGGTTTATGACTAAGTCAAATCTATATCTGCCCTCTAAATAATATATCTTATTATATCATCACTTGAGAGGGGATGAAGGCCAGAAGGATGTATATCAAGTGAGTTCACTGGCATATTGCAATAAAGTACACTGGCAGTTAAATAATAAGTAACAGAAAACTTTCAGAACTCATAATGAAAAAAATTCAATTGCCTTTCTTTGGATAATACAGAGAAAACAGAACAATCAAAAGACAAAATATAAATTTAAAAAGCTCTCAGGCTGTTTTAATAATTCTATTGCAATTGGTAGTTCTCTGTACACAAGAAGAAAGATAAAGCATTTGGCTTTATAAATATTATATATAGATAATTTTTCATTTTGCTTTACATATGTATTTTATATTTCAAAATAAAATACATGTAATAATTATCACAAAACACTTAACATTTTTATTGAGAACCTGTAAGGTGCCAGATCCTCAGGAAACTGAGACCTAGCAGGTTAATTTGCTTAGCTAGGACATAGATTCCATGGTACACCAAGCTGACTCCAAAGTGCAGAATAGCTAATATTTATTGCGTGTTAGCTAATTATGAAGTACTCTACCAAGCTCTTACTCCTCAGAACAACTCCATGAGGCAAGTACTACAGATATGAACATCCCTGCTTTACAGATGATTAGAACAAGGCTTAAAATGTATAACTAACTGTGCCAAAAAGCTGCACAGCCAGCCTGTCATGGAGTTCAGACATGAGCCCAGTACTGTCAGCCAGAATCTCTGAGTTTTGAGAACCCCTTTATGTAGAGAACACCCTATTTCCTTGCAGTGGCCAAGGCGGCCGCAAAGGTTGGGAGGTGGGGGTGAGAATGGAAGTGGTGGATTGTAGGCTAAGTGAGACTTCCACGCAGACCTTCCTGTCCTGTGTGTTCCCCCTGTAGCGGCTCCCTGAAATGACCTCTGATGCTTCCCAGGGAAGAGGCTTAGTTGAAAGCCTTGAATGATAATGCCTGCAAATGATCATTTCCCTTCCTTTCCCTCTCCTTCCCACCTCCCTTCCCCTTTTCCTTAAGGTGAACGTGTCAGCTTATTTTTCAATTTTATTAGAGCATGCAACACCTAGGTTGAACAGGCAAGAGTGTTAAGAGTGAGAAAACAATTAACTACAGCAAATAGAATGCAGAAGTTTTCTCCTTTTTGTGTTTAATTCCACCCGAGTTGGCCACTGAAAACCTGCTGACTCACTCTCATTTTACTTTCTTTTCTGTAATTGCTTAAAAAGTATACTCCAAAACTAACTGTCACCCAATTCACTTAGTCAATGTTGTGGGAATGTCAACTATCGTATTCCATGAGGAAATTCTATCTCTGATGCCATCTTTGGGGGGCAGGTGTTATAATTTGTTTATACAAAGGTCAATGTCAGGCTCCGTGACTTCTCTATTTTCCATGACTATAAGATAGCACACTCTTTTCTTTGCATGAGGGTGTGTTAGTGTGTTCTCATATAAGAAAGAAATAATTGGATCTAGTGTTTTCTTTTCTCAATCTTTTATTTTATCTTTGGTTAACATGTTCTTATCAAAGTCATGATACAGAGTACCAATTGCCAATCCAGTACTCCTTATCTTCCACCTTACTAATAGAATGCCAATTTTTAGCTGGCCATAGGGCCACTTGGAATAAAGATAACAATTCCAAGGCTGCTCAGGGCTGTTGTACCTAACCATTTAGACCTGTGAGGGTAGATGTGTTGTGAGAGACTTGAAGAAGGCCCTTTAAAAGACACTTAGAAACAAACTCATTTTGACTTCTATTCTTTTTGCTCTCTGGAATGTGGGTGAGATGGTTGAAACTCCAGCATCCACCCTAGAACATGTGGTTATCTTGAGTATGGAAACAACACACCAAAAATGGCAGAGGAGAAAGATAGAGGAGTCTGGGCATCTAGTGACTTCATGGAGCTGCCACACCAATCCTGGACTTCCTAACCCTTGTCTTCTTTTCTGTAAGAAAATGACCATTTGAGTGTTTGAGCCACTGTTATTTTGAGATTATTTCCATTTCTAACTGATGTAAGACCATTTTTAAAAGAAAAATGATTATAATTTTGGGGGAGGGGCCATGTGTAGTATGCTAAACTTGGTTGGTTATAAATAACCATATAAGCCCCACAATAGCCCTATATAACGATGAATATAACCACCACTTCAAAATTATAGACAGTAAGGCTTGGAAAGACATGTTTGAGGATTTACTCAGTCCATGCAGCTAGTTAAAAACAAAGACACAATTTAAACTCAAATCTGTATATTTAGATTCTGGATCCTATTATTTTCTCTTTTTACTATTCTTGCTTCTTGTGGCAGTTTGTTCATATCACAACAAACTCTCTTCGATTCAGATCCTACCTCTGACTTTTCTGACCTTTGTTCATTTAACTCTAAGCCTCAGTATCCCCATCTGGAAAACAGGATTACTAGGAGTGCATATTTCTTACGATTTGGGGAGCTCAAGTATGTTAACTAATGAGAAACACTTATTAAAATAGCTTATACATATAATGCTCTCAACAAATAGTTTTATTGTGTAATTTTATTATATTTACACTGTATTAGAGTTAATAATTTCTATGCCTGTTTTACTCAATAGATTCTAAGGGTCTTGGTGGCAGGAAATATACTTTTGTCATCTCTGTGTCCTCTGTACATTTTGAACAATGCTTTGCAATTTGTAAGTGCTCTATAAATGTTAGTTGAATTTAACTTACTTGGGAAGCAGTCTTGTGGGACTTATTTTGCTGATAGTTTGTTTAAACTTTATTTTTATGCTCATTTAGGTATATTTCATGGTCATTTTCATGATCTATATGAATAGTTAAGTCTGAAGAATACAATTTGCCTGAGTGAAACAGAGGTCATTTATCAGTCATTTCTTTAATCTTAAGTTAATCTTCAGCTAATGAGATTTAGCCATAAAAGCATTAATTTATAAAACATTCTGAGATGCAAAAACTGTTTCATGGCCAATATTAACCCTTTTGAAATATTTACACCAAATTCTACTTTAATGTTTATCATTGACTTATGAGAAATAAAGAAACTCTCTGTGTCATTTGTACTTAACTATAAAATACAAGATAATCTTTGTTTTGCCCATGTGAAACAGTTCCTAAACTGACAAACTTGTTCATTATACTCAAATCTCAATTGATGTTGCCAAAATGCATCAAACTAGTTCTTTCTTCAAAAGCCTATCCCATAAGTATTTCTATCATAAAATGTAAATAACTAAAAATTTGCATAAATATTTATTTTTCTCTTAGACATACTTCAATAGGACAATCTCGGGTCAGAATGTGTGATGCTGTTAAAAGAAAACTTAAAAGTAAAATGCAGTTCAGTGTCCCTGGGGATCTCACATTTTAGGGCAGAATTCTCCAGAATTATCTTCTGTTATTTGTTAAAGTAACATGTGAACTTTGGAAGAGATGGCATCTTTCAGCCAAGGAAATATCAATGCTAAGAGCATGAACTTGAATTTAAACCAATTAAAACAAAATTATATTTATTTGGCAAGATAAAGGTATTTCTGATAAGTAAACAAACAAAATGTTACTTTATCTCATTCTTTACAACTAACAGAGGATTTGATTGTAGCTATTTGATAATCAACAACGCGACTTTCCCACATGATGCATTTTGTACACTGCCAGAAGCAAAATGGAAGATTTGGCTCTAGCCCTTCACCGGAGATGGTAGACTCCTATGTGATCAGTTTACAAACTTTGCTTCTGGCATACTCCTAAATTAAAGAGTTGGTTATGGAGACTCTACAATCAGATTTTACCATGACTGAGACAGTATTTTGAAAACAATTATTTGATGCTTCTGTTCTTGTCTCCCACAAGTTATCTTCCTGGGAAGCCATTATACTATATATCTAGGGAAACAGTGTGAATAGATGCTTCCAAGGGAAGGAGATGCCAGAACATGAGCAGTGAGCAAGACAACCAGCGACACTCTAACTGCAGAGGCCAGAGAACCTCTGTGGGCAGCACCGGTCCCCACTGCGAATCCACAGAGAACTTCTGGACTTTCCTTCACCCAGATGAGGTTTTAATCAGCTTCTGAAACAATTCCTTTGCAGGGAAGGAAGGGTGGTAGGAGAAAAGGTAGAGAACAGAAAAATAAAATCTGTCTTTATAACATACTTTGGCTAAATAATTTTAAGGACATCTCCTTTTAAATCAACAAAATCTTCATACTTCAGGCCAAGAAATTTATAAAATAATTTTCATATGTTCCTTAGGCATATTTTTCCTGTCTGGAAATTCAACTTAGGTACTTTTATATCTTCCTTGTTTCTTCTTAACGTAATGTGTAAGTCTATATGTAAGTACTATATACACATATAAGTTCTAAATGTATGCTCATAGAAATACAAATACTGTATGTAAGTATATATAATACTATGTATAACTGCTATACTTATTATAAGTACTACTTAAATATAGTTTCCTTACCCCATTTTTAACAGTCATTGATTAACCAATTGAAGATTATCCTATAGTTTATTTTTTTCATTACCTTCAATGTAATGATGCCATTCTAGTTTTATAAAACCAGGTGACAATATTACATTCTCTAAAATTTCTTTAGACAAATACTGAATGGGGACAAATACTGAATGGGGAAAAACTGAAAGCTTTTCCTCTAAGATCTGGAACACTACAAGGATGCCCACTGTCACCACTGTTATTCAACATAGTATTGGAAGTCCTAGCTAGAGCAATCAGACAAGAGGAGAAATAAAGGACATCTAAATTGGAAAGAAAGAAGTTAAATTATCCTTGTTTGCAGATGACATGATTTTATAATTGGAAAAACCTAAACACTCCACCAAAAAAACTACTAGAACTGATAAAACAAATTCAGTAAAGTTGCAGGATACAAAAATCAACATACAAAAATCAGTAGCATTTCTATATGCTAAGAGTGAACAATCTAAAAAAGAAATAAAAAAAGTAATTCCATTTAAAATAGCTACAAATAAAATAAAATAAAATACCTTGAAATTAACCAAAGAAATGAAATATCTCTACAATGAAAACTATAAAACATTGATGAAAACAACTGAAGAGGACACACAAAAATCGGAAAGACATTCTATGTTCATGAATTGGAAGAATCAATCTACAGATTTAATTTAATTCTGACCAAAATACCAATGACATACTTCACAGAAATAGAAAAAAGTCCCAAAATTTACATAGAATCACACAAGACCCAGAGTCGTCAAAGATGTCCTAAACAAAAAGAATAAAACTGGAGGAATCATATTACCTGTCTTCAAATTATACTAGAGAGTTATAGTATACTGGCATGGTACTGGCATAAAAACAGACACATAGACCAGTGGAATAGAATAGAGGACCCAGAAATAAGTCCATACATCTGTAATAAACTCACTTTTGATAAGGGTGCCAAGAACATACACTGGGGAAAGGGTGGTCTCTTCAAAATATTGTGGTGGGAAAATTGGATATTTATATGCAGAAGAAAGAAACTAGACCCCCATCTCTCACCCTACACACAAACCAAATCAAAATGGATTCAAGACTTAAATCTATGACCTAAACCTATGAAACTACTACAAGGAAACATTGGGGAAACTCTCCAGGACATTGGACTAGGCAAAGATTTCTTAAGTAGTATCCTACAAGCACAGGTGAGCAAATAAAAAATGGACAAATGGGATCACATCAAGCTAAAAAGTTCTGCACAGCAAAGGAAACAATCAACAAAGTGAAGAGAAGACCTACAGAAGAAGATAAAATATTTGCAAAGTATCTATCTGACAAGGGTTTAGTAACCAGAATATATAAGGAGCTCCAACAATTTTATATGAAAAAAATCTAATAACCTAGTTTAAAAATGAGCAAAAGATCTGAATAGACATTTAAAAAGAAGACATACAAATGGTGAACAGGTGTATGAAAAGGTGCTCAGCATCACTGACCATTAGATAAATGCAAATCAAAACTACAAGGAGATATCATCTCGCCCTAGTTAAAATGGCTTTTATCGAAAAGACAGGCAGTAACAAATGCTGGCAAGGATGTGGAGAAAAAAAGAACCCTGGTACACTGTTGGTAAGAATGTAAATTAGCACAATAACTACAGAGAACAGTTTGGAGGTTCCTCAAAAAAATTAAAAATAGAGCTACCATGTGATCCAGCAATCCCACAGCTAGGTATTTACTCTAAAGAAAGAAAATCAGTATATCTAATAGATACTTGCACTCCCACGTTTATTGCAGCATTATTCACAATAGCCAAGATTTTGGTGCAACCTGAGTGTCCATCAACAGATGAATGAATAAAGAAAATGTGGTACATATACACAATGGAGTACTATTTAGCCATAAAAAAGAAAGAGATCCTGTCATTTGCAACAACATGGATGAAACTGAAGGTCATGGTGTTAAGTGAAGTAAGCCAGGCACAGAAGGACAAACATCACATGTTCACAATTATTTGTGGAAGCTAAAAATCTAAAAAAAAAAAAAAAATTGAGCCCATGGAAATAGTAAAACAATGGTTACCAGAGACTGGGAAGAGTAGTGAGAATGGGGGTTGGAGGAAAGGTGGAGGTGATTAATGGTTCCAAAAAAATAGAAAGAATCAAGAAGACGTTTTATTTGCTAGCACAACAGGGTGACTATAGCCAAAAGTAATTTAATTGTACATTTAAAAATACCTGAAAGAGTATAATTGGATTGTTTGTAACACAAAGGATAAGTGCTTGAGAAAATGGAGACCCCATTTACGTTCATGTGATTATTACACATTGCATGCCTGTATCAAAATAGTTCATGTAACTCATAAATATATATACCTACTATGTACCCATATTTTTTAAAAAGATCTTTTAGATAATTCCTTAATAATGCACTTTTGAAAATCAGTAATTTGTGGGAAGTTATATTCTTCAAAGATTCATGCATTGAAACTTGGCTACAAGTACATTTTAAGAAGAAAAGACTTATTAATGTCTTTAACTTATATTATCCCGTTTTGGCTATGTGTAGTACATAGTTTGTGCTATTTCTCTTTTCCCTTTACAACCAGCCTAAGGGTGATATTAACATGAAAGTTTTATAATTTTCTGTTTCCCTTTTCTGTACTATCTTCTGGCATGCTTTAGCTCATATGATTACATTTTTAAACATTACAAATCTGTAGAGCTTGTAGCACTGGTGTTACTTCTTTCTTAAAGAACTGAGATTTGCAAAAGTTTCATTGCAAAGAAATGGACTTGGACGGCTATGGAAAATGTCCAGCAATGCAGTCTAGAGCTTTTTGATTAAATCACAAGCAAAATAAGTGAAGCAGATCATATAAAGGAGGAGGATCACACATATCTAAATTATTTTATTTAGTTTATCATGACAAAGTTTCTGATAAAACTCTAGAGCAGATTTAATAACATATTAATAAGTGATGACAAATGGTTCATTAAATCATCTTCTCACACTGCTTACAGGCATAATGGTCATGACTGTATTTGTGCACTTTAGTCCCATAAGAGTGAGTGGAAGAAGTGGGGGAGGCTATGAAAGTCTCTGAGATTCAGGTCTGTGGATTAAAAATTATCACAAGCCATATTTTCTGATGGTTTTGATTCTAATAGAGTAATTGCAACAGAGGAAAATAACCTAGAGGTACCCTATGCAAACTTTTTCATTGAAACAAAAATGTCTAAGAATAGGCAGAAGATGAAGCTGTCGACTGAACAACTAAAGATATGTTTGTCTCATTTTTTAATTTTAAAAATTTATATAAAATTTGCCTTCCTAATATAATCATATGAGTTTTAATATAAATATAACACTAAAATTAGTTATTGATACAATTATATAACTATTCCCCTAAAAATTTTGCAGTAAAATTTGTTTGTCAGGAAGATATACCATATGTATTTTCTACTGTTTACATATCTTGTGGCACATCAAAAGGGATGTCAACCACAATGCTAAGGCACCAAACAACACTGTTGCTTACGTTGTTTTTAGGAGGACTTGACCTTAGTTATAAATTTAGGGCTACACTGACACAGCAAAATAAACTAAAGGCACTGCAATTGTCTATTTCATTCAGGAAAATAACTGAACAACAGACGAATGAGGCAGTCTTAAGTTTCATTTCCATAAATTATAATTGTATTTCTAAATTATGTTATGTAGGGTTTCTTCACATCTTGTTACATGAATTCTACAGGGACAAGAATTGTTAGTTATTTGGTGTTTTAACATTTTAACATGCGGCACAGCTCCTGGCATATAAAAGGAGACCAGTAAATAAATGTTAAATAAATGAACGGATAAGTGAATTACCTATGTAGGATGTACTCTAATTGTAGTGATTTCTTATGTTAGTTTTAATTAGCTACAAAAATATAGACTACTTTTGAATAGTATCAAAAGTAAAAATGAGGTTTGAGATTTCAGATATATTTTAGAGATTCACAAAAATATGCTAATATAGTTTCATAGCATATAGCTATTGAACACTAAGAGAAAAAATGGTATTTAGATGAGGGAGAATGTTCAATTAAAATGCTAAATTAATTTTACTTTTAGATAAGAAAATGTTGAAATATAGGCTTTCAGAATAAATAGGACTGTGGTTTCCTAGTAGTTAAATTCATGCCCAAATATATGCTTCCTGTTTTTTTCATGAATAGTACTAAATGCAGGCATTACTCCAGAGATTGTCTTCTATGACCTTATTCTTAATTACTCTTCATATTTTTCTTCTATTCTTCATTGTGCATTATCCTCAAGAGTTGGTGCAGTTCTTAAGTAGTTGTAAATCTTTAATAACTGGACTCTAAAGGTTTTAATTATCTCCTTACTGTGCTTGCCTAAAATAGGTAACTCCTGGCTGGGTGCAGTGGCTCATGCCTGTAATCCCAGCACTTTGGCAGGCTGAGATGGTTGGATCATTTGAGGTTAGGAGTTTGAGACCAGCCTTGCCAACATGGTGAAACCCAACCTCTACTAAACATACAAAAATTAGTCAGATGTGGTGGGGGGCACCCAGCTACTCGGGAGGCTGAGGCAGGAGAATCCCCTGAACCTGGGAGGCGGAGGTTGCAGTGAGCAGAGATCGTGCCACTGCACTCCAGCCTGAGTGACAGAGTGAGACTCTGTCTTAAAAAATAATAATAATAAAATAAAATAAAAATAAAAATAAAAAGGTAACTCCTAACTTTAAATATAGCTTAAATTAAGGCAGAGGAAGTAAAGTTTGAAGTAAATATCTTTTGTTAAGTTAATTTTACTTTAACAATCTCCAGCTATTATCTAATTATAGAAGGTTGCTTGAAAGGGAAACTTACTAATATCTGACATAATAAGGTACGTTCTTCATGTTCAGTGTTCTAGTGAAAAGAATCTTCCAAGTAAATGTATCCACAGTGTTTTGAGTTCACCAGTGTTTTGGATTCACTGAACTAGCACATTTTTACTACAAAAGAGAGTTTCCTTCAAAGAAAATTAACTATCCCACCAAAGCTTCATTTGAATACAAATTTTAAAGTTGATGCAAATGGAGCGCCAATACACTTGGGGTTTTTGTGGGGCTTTGAAAACATATGGTTCATCTTGATGTTAAAAATAATACACTTCTCTCTATGTTAAATCTTGATAGGGCATGAATTAATGAAATAGAAGAAAATGATAATATATTAAGCCTACATTGATCCTATAGAAAATATTAATCCATGTTTAAAAGTACATCAAGATACTTCCAAAAAACTGGAGTAAACATATTTTTCCTATCCCTTCCATTAAGTAAAACTAAAAACCTTGGACATTATATATAAAACAAAAATGAAGAGACCAGCTAGGGCTCTTGGGATCCAAGCAGTGACAAAGTGGTGAATTCCTGGGTTTTTTTTTCTGCCTCTTATATATGAATCCATTTAAAATGTTATTGAAATGACACAGTATTGAAATGAAGAACTCATTAGTGGTTGCCAGGGCCCAAGGAGTGCAAAGGGCGGAGCAGAGGAAAGTGGGTGTGGCTATAAAAGGGCAAGAGAGATGCAATGGCTAACTTTTTGTGCCAACTACAACTATCTGATCTTTGACAAACCTGAGAAAAACAAGCAATGGGGAAAGGATTCCCTATTTAATAAATGGTGCTGGGAAAACTGGCTAGCCATATGTAGGAAGCTGAAACTGGATCCCTTCCTTACATCTTATACAAAAATCAATTCAAGATGGATTAAAGATTTAAACGTTAGACCTAAAACCATAAAAACCCTAGAAGAAAACCTAGGCATTACCATTCAGGACATAGGCATGGGCAAGGACTTCATGTCCAAAACACCAAAAGCAATGGCAACAAAAGACAAAATTGACAAATGGGATCTAATTAAACTAAAGAGCTTCTGCACAGCAAAAGAAACTACCATCAGAGTGAACAGGCAACCTACAAAATGGGAGAAAATTTTCGCAACCTACTCATCTGACAAAGGGCTAATATCCAGAATCTACAATGAACTCAAACAAATTTACAAGAAGAAAACAAACAACCCCATCAAAATGTGGGCAAAGAACCTGAAAAGACACTTCTCAAAAGAAGACATTTATGCAGCCAAAAAACACATGAAAAAATGCTCACCATCACTGGCCATCAGAGAAATGCAAATCAAAACCACTATGAGATACCATCTCACACCAGTTAGAATGGCAATCATTAAAAAGTCAGGAAACAACAGGTGCTGGAGAGCATGTGGAGAAATAGGAACACTTTTACACTGTTGGTGGGACTGTAAACTAGTTCAACCATTGTGGAAGTCAGTGTGGCGATTCCTCAGGGATCTAGAACTAGAAATACCATTTGACCCAGCCATCCCATTACTGGGTATATACCCAAATGACTATAAATCATGCTGCTATAAAGACACATGCACACTTATGTTTACTGCGGCATTATTCACAATAGCAAAGACTTGGAACCAACCCAAATGTCCAACAATGATAGACTGGATTAAGAAAATGTGGCACATATACACCATGGAATACTATGCAGCCATAAAAAATGATGAGTTCATGTCCTTTGTAGAGACATGGATGAAATTGGAAATCATCATTCTCAGTGAACTATCACAAGAACAAAAAACCAAACACCGCATATTCTCACTCATAGGTGGGAGTTGAACAATGAGATCACATGGACACAGAAAGGGGAATATCACACTCTGGGGACTGTGGTGGGGTGGGGGGAGGGGGGAGGGATAGCATTGGGAGATATACCTAATGCTAGATGACGAGTTAATGGGTGCAGCGCACCAGCATGGCACATGTATACATATGTAACTAACCTGCACAATGTGCACATGTACCCTAAAACTTAAAGTATAATAATAATAAAAAAAAAGACTTGCCTAGATAGCTGGTAAAACATTATTTCTGAGTATATCTCTGAGAGTGTTTCAGGAAAAAAATATATCATTTGAAAGAGTAGACTGAGTAAAGAAGATGCATCATTAGCAGTGTGGGTAGGCACCATCTGATTCATTGAGGGCCCTGATAGAACAAAAAGGAGAAGGAAGGAAAACTTCTCTTACTCTCTTGAGCTGGGGGATATCCCTCTTCTCTTGCCCTTAGATATCATAGCTTCTGGTTCTCTGGCCTTCATATTCTGGGACTTATGTCATCATTACCCTTGGTTCTCAGGTTTTCTCACTTTGAACTGAATTGCCCCACCAGCTTTCCTGGTTCTCCGATTTGCAGATGGCATATTGTAGGATGTCTCAGCCTCCACAATTGCCTGAGCCAATTTCTATAATAGATCTTTCCTTATCTCTATATTTTTCCAGACAGATGATAATCTGTCTGTCTATTTATCACATTGGTTCTGCTTCTCTGGAGATCCTGAATAATACAATGAAAGATCTTTGTGATGATGAAAATGTTCTGTACTTGAACTGTATCAGCGTTAATACCCTAGTTATGATATTGTAATATAGTTTTGCAATTTCTTACTTTTGGAAAAAAACAGGGTAACGGTTTCAGGGGATCTTTCTGGGTAATTTCTTACAATTATAGGTGAATCTAGACTTATACTAAAATTTAAAAATGTAATTTAAAAAACTGTCAGACACAGTATAAGACAGATCATCAAGGCAGAAAACTAACAAAGATAGGCAGGAACTGAACTTGACATTTGAACAAGTGGACCTAACAGACATCTACAGAACTCTCCCCCAAAACCAATAGAATATACATTCTTCTCATCTGCGCATGGTATATACTCTAAGAGCAACCGCATAATTTGTCATAAAACAATTTTCAGCAAATTCAAAAACACTGAAATCACACCAACCATACACTCAGACCACAGCACTATAAAAGTAGAAATCAATAGTAAGGAGATTGCTCAGAATCACACATTTACATGGAAATTAAACAAGACCTCTGGGTAGACAATAAAATTAAGGCAGAAATCTGAAAATTCTTTGAAATGAATGAGAGCAAATATAAATCTGGGACACAGCTAAAGCAGTGTTAAAAAGAAACTATGGTGCTAAGTGTCCACATCAAAAATTTAGAAAGATTTCAAACTAACAACCTAATATTAAACCTAGAGGAACTAGAAAAACAAGAACAAACCAACCTCAAAGCTAGCAGAAGACAAAAAATAACCAAAATCACAGCTGAACAGAATAAAATTGAGATGTGAAAAAGCATACAAAAGATCAATGAAACCAGAACTTTGTTCTTTGAAAGAATAAATAAGATTGATAGACTGCTACCTAGAGAAATAAACAAAGAGATATCAAAATAAGCACAATAAGAAATGACAAAGAGGATATTACCACTGATCCTACAGAAATACAAAACACCCTCAGAGACTATTATGAACACCTCTACGCACACAAACTAGAAAACCTACAAGAAATGGATAAATTTATGATAACGTACAACCTCCTAAGATTAAACCCAGAAGAAATTGAAATCTTGAACAGCACAATAACGTGTTCTTGAAATTGAATCAGTAATAAAAAGCCTTCAAACCAGTAAAAGCCCAGGACCAGAAGAATTCATGGCCAAATTCTACCAGACGTATAAAGAGAGCTGGTACCATTCCTACTGAAACTATTCCAAAACATTGAAGAGGAGGGACTCATCCCTAGTTCATTCTATGAGGCCAGCGTTATTATAATACCAAAACCTGGCAGAGACACACAACAAATGTAAACTTCAGGCCAATATTCTTGATGAACATAGATGCAAAAATCCTCAACAAAATACTAACAAACCAAATCCAGCAGCATATCAAAAAGCTAATCTACCATGATCAAGCAGAGTTTATCTCTGGGATGCAAGTTTGATTCAACATATGCAAACAATAAATCAATAAATGTGACTCATCACATAAACAGAACTAAAAACAAAAGCCACCTAATTGTCTCAATAGATGCAGAAAAGGCTTTTGATAATGTTCAGTATCCTCTCATGTTAAAAACCGTCAACAAACTAGCCATTGAATGAACAACTCTCAAAATAATAAGAACCGTTTATGAAAAACCCAAAGATAACATCATGCTGAACAGGCAAAAGCTGCAGGCATTTCCTTTGTGAACTGGAACAGGACAAGAATGCCCTCTCTCACCACTCCTATTCAACATAGTCCTAGCCAGACCAATCAGGGAAGAGAAAGAAATAAAAAGCATCCAAATGGGAAGAGAGGAAGTCAAACTATCTCTGTTTGCAGATGATATGATTTTATACCTAGAAAATCCCATAGTCTCTGCCCAAAAGCTGCTCGATCTGATGAACAACTTCAGCAAAGTTTGAGGATACAAAAGAAATGTACACAAATCAGTAGTATTTCTATACACCAACAACATCCAAGCTAGATGCCAAATCAAGAATGCAATCCCATTCACAACAGCCACAACAACAATAAAAAATACCTAGGAATATATTAACCAAGGAGATGAAAGACCTCTACAATGAGAATAACACAACACTGCTGAAAGAAATCAGAGATGACATAAACAAGCAGAAAAATATTTCATGCTCATGAATAGAAAGAACCAATATTGTTAAAATGGCCATACTGCCCAAAGCAATTTACAGATTCAATGCTATTCCTTTCAAACTACCAATGACATTCTTTATAGAATTAGAAAAAAAAAACTATTCTAAAATTCATATAGAACCAAAAAAAGACCCTGAATAGCCAAAGAAATCCTAAGCAAGAAGAAAAAACCTGGAGACATTACATTACCAGAGTTGAAACTATACTACAAGGCTATAGTAACCAAAATAGCATGGTACTGGTACAAAAACAGACACATGGATGAATGGAACAGAATAGAAAGCCCAGAAATAAAGCTGCACACCTGCAACCATCTGATATCTGACAAAGTTGACAAAAACAAGCAATGGAAAAAGGACTTTCTATTTAATAAACAGTGCTAGGATAACTGGCTAGCCATATGCAGAAGATTGAAATTGAACCCCTTCCTTATACCATATACAAAAATCAACCCAAGATGGATTAAGACTTAAATGCAAAACCTAAAACTGTGAAAACCCTTGAAGGAAACCTAGGAAATACCCTTTAATTTTCTTTAAGATTTATAGTATATAATTTGGCCAAACTCTTAAAGGCCTTCAAATCTCAAGTCTCAGTTCCCTACTATCTTAACCAATTTCCTTCTGGAAATAGATTGAAGTCATCTATAAAGAGTTCACACAGAATCAGTCCATTAAAATAAAGATAAAAACCACAAGTTGTATAATAAAGGCAGAGGAAAATGGGAAAGAAAGTATTACTTTTTAAAAAATCAAAGTCTTTTGGGGGAGTGGGTTGGTAAAATTGAAAAAATAATCTCAGCTTTCTTGTATATTTAGCAAAAAGGACACTGTGATGGATTATATTAACTTCTACAGTGAAATAAAAGTGAATACTACTAGTAGATCATTAGGACAGAGAAACTTTATGCTAGGACTAAATTCTGAGAACAATTTACTGTGTGGCTCTTAACTAGTGATCTTTAACAATAAAATTAATTTTTACAATTATGTGTTTATAGAAACTGCACATTGTAAACCATGTGGCTGGTTAAAAAAATAATAATCAAAACCAGAACAAAAACAAAATACTGATATACATATATATGTATATCCAAACACCATGTTATGTACCTTAAATATATATAATAAAAATAAATTTAAAAACAAATAAAAATTCCCCAAAACTAAAGAGGCTTAAGTAAATAATAAGCCCATTACATCGAGTTCTGGTCCAGGAGATTTTTGACATTGTAGGTAAAGAGTATTTAGACCACATCACAGACTCAGGGTATCAGGCTGTCTGGTCGTAAACTTGAACTCACATCTAAACATTCCATGCCAGCCTCTGCAGTCAGGCAGACGTCCTGATCTACCTCTCTGCCTAGAGGTGTAGGTCCAGAGTGGATCTAACTGAGTTCCTTGCTCTGCCACTTGCTGGCTATGTGATCTTGAAAAACTTGCTTAATTTTTTCTGAGTCTTTGTTGCCTCATCTGTATGGACATGGAAATAATTGCATTATATACCTCAGAAATTGGTGAGGATTGATGTAATTTATACCTATACAGTTCACAAAACAGTGCCAAGTACATCATGAACATTCAGCAAGTGTTTTCCATTATCATCTCGTCTGTATTAGCGCTGTGTGGAAGAATCTTTATTAACCTTTATATGATTAAACAAATACCCTAGAGAAAGAGCCTGCTCACCAAAACATATGTTCTCCTTTTCTGTCTAAGCGTCAGCTGAACCCTGTTTCCCAGTTCTGTCTGAGACTCTGTTGGCCAATAAAATGTGAGAGGGAGTGGCATGTGCCATTTCAGGCCTGACTCATTAAAATCCTCCCACATGTGCTCTTCCGTGTTCCTGGCCCTCTGGAATGCTGATGGCAGAGAACATGGAAGCCACATGTGAAAGATGGCAGAAACTCTGTCAACCTGGCCACCACACCCAACTGTTTGGCTACCTGATTAGTTGTGTCAGGTTGCAAGAAACCAGCTACTGTTGGATAAGTTCCACAATGCATGCCTTGGGTCTGCTATAAGCAGTTTATACAACACTGATGTTGTGGTGAAGAGCTTTAAAAATCGTGCAAGTGAAAAACATCTCAATCCAAGTAAATGCCTCTGTCTTGGGGTATTTGTCCATTTGTCCTCTATTTTGGGCCTTACATATAAATCCTATTTGTTTGCTCTGTTCATGACATCTCTATATGCATGGCAAGGCTCTCCTACTTAGTGATCTGATCGGATTCCAGCTGTATCTTAGTTTTAATTCTATTAAATATGATCACCTATCATTTTTGGTTTAATCCCAGGACTCTTCAAAGCAAAATGGCATTTGCTGCCTAGCCTCAGTTTTATGTAAGAGCATCTCAAACACCAAACACTACCTCCAAAATTTGTTTAGCATTTTTCAAATGATTTGATGACAACAGAGGCATGCATATGTTTGTGACTTTCCTAAGTCATATAGCACAAGGCTGGCTGAACTCAATAAAATGTAAGTTCATAGATTAATTGAGCAAAGTCTACCCTACTCACACCTGCCAGAGCTGAAGTAAGGCATTCTCCTGGGTAACAGAGGAAGATCATAGGTTGGAAAAGGCAAGTATTCCTGAGGGATCACTACTCTTTCTTCTTGGAAGGAAACTTATCTGCTTATCCATGTCCCTTGATTTTCTGCTTTGTTCATTCAACAGGCCTGGCTTTATTTGAGGTGATAGGAGAATCAAGATGTATCATTGCACACAACATTCTCAGGAGAGTCACCAATGCACCTGCCCTTTTTGTGTTTTTACTGAGGAAGCTCTGCATAAGCCACTTTATGGAGCATTCCTGTTTGGGACTGGAATTTTGGAATAAGAAAAAATATATAAGACAAGACCTCAGAAGCACATGGAGTGGGCAAAATTCAGTTCCAATGTAGGAAAAAAACAAAAACAACCTTTGGTCAGGGTCAGAAGTGGATCTTTTCTTTTTTTTTTTTTTTTTTTTTTTTTTGAGACGGAGTCTCGCTCTGTCGCCCAGGCCGGACTGCGGACTGCAGTGGCGCAATCTCGGCTCACTGCAAGCTCCGCTTCCCGGGTTCACGCCATTCTCCTGCCTCAGCCTCCCCAGTAGCTGGGACTACAGGCGCCCGCCACCGCGCCCGGCTAATTTTTTGTATTTTTAGTAGAGACGGGGTTTCACCTTGTTAGCCAGGATGGTCTCGATCTCCTGACCTCATGATCCACCCGCCTCGGCCTCCCAAAGTGGCCCTAGGACTGTTTCTACTAACGACTCAGTCCAACCTGGAATGGGGTGAATTCTGCACCCTCACTGGGGACTCTGGGATTGCTGGAGTGGTCTCAACATGATAATATCTTGGTCAATAGAAGCTTGTTCCATTGCCAGTGCTTTATGCAAGATGAACCAGCACTAGCAGCCAAAGAAAGTAAAGATTGAGCAACAGCCCCTTTCCTTTTCTGTCCCAACTTCCCTTCAGAGCAGCTGCATCCAAGTCCCAGCAGATGTTAGTGTATGTGGGATGACCTTGCAGATGGCTGCATCAGGGCAAATTTCTGAGTTCATGAGTTTCTCTCTCTGTCCCTTCCCTCTCCATCCCTGGTAGCTGACGGTGCTGGAGAGAAAGAGAAGTTTTCAGTGGTAAGGGCAAAACAAGAAACAAGTCATGAGTTTGCTATTTTTGGATGAGTTATTGCTGCATCACACATTGTTCTTAGTAGTCTCAGTATGACACAGCAATTTTTCATCACTTAAATGCAGTTTTAGAATTTTTAATAACACTTTAAATTGCTAATCATAAGACTGAAACTTGATGTCTTCTAATCCGGCAAAATACATTAGTCACTTACCAGCTCTGTAGTAGCTTTTTAAAAAATTCAGGATCTTGGTCATGAGGGCTTAGGATCCAAATCAATTGCTATATAAATCCTTTTGGAAATGTATTCAGTGCTATAACTACACGTGCACTACCATATTCTAGTATTGTCTTTTTAGTTCCAAAATTTAGTTGTTATAGAAATCAAAGATAGTTGTTCCCAGAGTGTCCAAACCATCTAGGCCAACTGTAATTGAAGAAAGACAATATTGTTTGCAGTCTCAGTATGAATGTGGATTCCTTCTCAAATAATCATT
Source organism: Homo sapiens (assembly GCF_000001405.40). Taxonomy (NCBI): domain Eukaryota; kingdom Metazoa; phylum Chordata; class Mammalia; order Primates; family Hominidae; genus Homo; species Homo sapiens. Next base: position 78,103,032 of record NC_000013.11, read on the forward strand.
TGCGCTTACCTCTTGGGCTTTGTCTGAAGAAAATAAAAGCAATATCACAAAGTATGCTGTACAAACATGTGCATCTCAACATTGTTTAAAATAGGACTCATTGGAAAAAATCTAAGTACCCTACAATGTAATACTGGTTAAAAGAATTAGATTCATAAAATGGGATGCACGGGACCAATTTGAAACAATATTTACTGATATGAAATCATACTTTAAAAGCACCTTAAAGGAAGAGAATAATAGCAAACCAAAACTATATAATTAATTTGTCAAAATAACATATACATACATAGAAAGTTTATTAACATATAATTATATATTCATTAAAAGTCATCTATATTATCATAGAAAAATACTATCTCTACCTTAACAATAATGATTACTTCATGGTAGAATTACAGACTTTTTTTTCTTACATGTGGCATGTGTGTGTGTTTATGGATATGTATTGCTTGTGTCATAATAATAGAGTTATATTAAAATATTATAGATTTTAGGGTAAAAGGGCAGAATAAAGCCAGAGTACAGAAGTCCTCTCACCCAGTAGGTAATACAGTGAATCAAATATTATATAAATAAGTGAAAGTGTTACAAAGTTCACCCAACAACAAAACAAGAAAAGAGGAGGAACCACATGTCACCAAGTTCAAAATGTGGTGATCGAGGCAAACTGTCTGGCATGGAGCTGAATATGGAGACTCCTATCTTTACTCCCATATTACAGTAGCAGAATTGGAGAGATAAAATGCTCAGTGTTCTTATTTAAAATTGTACCTACCACCACCAGGTTAGAAAGGAGCATGCAAGCTGAAGCTGAGAGGATAAGAGAGTTCTTCCAGGATGAGTCAAGGAAAAATCCAGTAGAGAAAAGGCCACACCAACAGAGGCAATAGAAATGGACCAGAGAAAATCCTCTGGAGAGGACTGACATTTTCCAGGACTTCCTGATGAATTTCAGAAAAAATTCAAAGTCCCAGTAGATTCTCTTTTAGGACTAAAATTCTTTCCCAAATAAGTGAAGTGACCTCCTCTGAGGGACGCACATAGACTCTAATGAGCTCTTCCCCACTTCCATTTTCCTCCTACAGACACTTAACCACTGCCATCAGGTTACAGAAAAGTGGATGAAACAGCTAATTTGAGCCTTCAAGGGGGCCAAGTGGCTGAAAGAAATAGATTTGCATGAGTTACTCATCTCAACCAGAAAGAAAATGCAAAGAATTGGCGTGGAAATTGTGACAATATACCACATTTAAAAAATAAAAATCCCTTAAGACTAGTTCTGGAAGGAAACATACCACAAGGAACAAATGAAATTTCCTTTCAAATTCAGCCCACAATAAAAGAGTTTAGTTATTATTATAAGTTGACTAATACAAGAAATCATTGGTGAATTAAGAATGCAAATAACATTATTACAGAAACAGTATCTTAAAAATAACACCCAGGGACAGAATAAATGGTTGAATATCAAATTACTTTTCCAGAGAGACTTGAGATAATTAGAGGAATTGCTAAGAAAAAGTCAATAAAAATTATGGAGATAATAATAAAATTTGATTTCAAAGATAGTCCAAAATAAATCAATAAAAATGTAATTGGACATTTAAAAATAATTAAAAGGGTATAACTGGATAGTTTGTAAAACGAAGGATAAATGCTTGAGGCAATGGATACCCCATTCACCCTGAGGTGATTTTACACATTATATGACTATATCAAGGTATCTCATGTAGCTCATAAATACATACACCTATGTCTCCACAAAAATTAAAAATTAAACAAAAATGAAAACCAGTGTCCATGAAACAGGAAATTCAGTAAGTAAAACAGAAAAAGTATTGAAAGGAATAATGGAATAACACTTTTTTCTGAAACATATATTGACATCTAGAGTTTTTAATGAAGGGTAGTGTGTTTAAGGAAACACATTATCATCATCATCATCAAGCAACCAACACTGAAAAATAGCACGTTTAACTTGTTGAACTTCAAGAATAGAGGAGTAAATTTTCAGGTAACAGAAAAGAAAGCCACGTCTAAG